>NT_187497.1:104657-110175 GCF_000001405.40 Homo sapiens
CCTATGTGCGGGACAAACTTTCAGACCCTCGTAGCAGGGTTCTGGAATCCTATGTGAGGGCCAAATATTAGACCCACATGGCAGTGTTCTGGATTCGTACGTGAGGGACATATACTCAGAACCAACAGCAGTGTCCTGGAATCCTAAGTGGGGGACAAACATTCAGACCACAGCAGGATTGTTCTGAAATCCTATGTGAGGAACAAACATTGAGACCACAGCAGGAGTGTTCTGGAATCCTATATGAGGGACAAACCTTCAGAAGACAGCAGGATTGTTCTGAAATCCTATGTGAGGAGCAAACATTTAGACTACAAAAGGAGTGTTCCAGAATCCTATGTGAGGGACAAATATTTAGACCCTCGTAGCAGTGTTCCGGAATCCTATGTGAGGGACAAATATTTAGACCCTCGTAGCAGTATTCTGGAATCCTATGTGATGGACAAACATTTAGACCCACGTAGCAGTGTTCTGGAATCATAAGTGAGGGACAAACCTTCAGACCACAGCATGAGTGTTGTGGAATCCTATGTGAGGGACAAATATTCAGACGACAGCAGAAGTGTCCTGAAGTCCTATACGAGGAACAAACCTTTGTACCACAGCCGGAGGGTTCTGGAATCCTAAGTGAAGGACAAACATTCGGAGGACAGCAGGCATGTTCTGAAATCCTATGTGAGGAGCAAACATTTAGAACACAACAGGACTGTTCTGGAATTCTATGTGCAGGACAAACATTCAGACCCTGATAACAGTGATATGGATTCCTATGTGAGGCATAAACTTTTAGACCCAGGTGGAAGTTTTCTGGAACGTGAGGGGCAAACACTCAGAACCCAACAGCAGTGTTCTGGAATCGTATGTGAGGGACTAATATTCAGTCCACAGCGGGAATGTTCTAAAATCCTATGTGACGAACACACATTCAGACCACAGCAGGAGTGTTCTGGAATCCTATGTGAGAGACAAACATTCAGATCCTGGTAGCAGTGAAATGGATCCCTATGTGAAGTACAAACTTTTAGACCGACGTGAGAGTGTTCTGTAATCTTACGTGAGGGACAAACACTCAGAATCCAAAAGCAGTGTTCTGGAATCCTATGTGAGGGACAATCATTCAGACCACAGCTGGGGTGTTCTAGAATCCTACTTGTGGGACAAACATTCAGACCCTGGCAACATTGTTCTGGAATCCTATGTGAGGGATAAACATTTAGAAAACAGCAGGAGTGTTCTGGAGTCCTATGCGTGGGACAAACATTCAGACTCTTGTAGCGGTGTTCTGGAATCCTATGTGAGGGACAAACATTGAGACCCTCTTACAAGTGTTCTGGAATCCTATGTGAGGTACAATTATTCAGAACCTCGTAGCAGTGTTCTGGAATCCAATGTGAGGGAGAAACACTCAGAACCCACCAGCAGTGTTCTGGAATCCTATGTGAGGAACAATCATTCAGACCAATGCTGGGGTGTTCTGAAATCCTAAGTGTGGGACAAACATTCAGACCCTCGTAGCATTGTTCTGGAATCCTATGTGAGGGACAAACATTCAGATGACAGCAGGAGTGTTCTGAAATAGTATGTGAGGAACAAACATTTAGACCACAGCAGGAGTGTTCAGGAATCCTACATGAGGGACAAACACTCAGACAATAGCAGGAGTGTTCTGGAATCCTATGTGAGGTTTAGAAATTCATACCCTCATAGCAGTGTTCTGGAATCTTATCTGAGGGAGAAACACTCAGAACCCAGCAGCAGTGTTCTGGAAACGTATGTCAGGGACAGTCATTCAGACCACAGCTGGGGTGTTCTGGAATCCTACGTGTGGGACAAATATTCAGACCCTCGTAGCAATGTTCTGGCATCCTATGTGAGGGAAAAGCCTTCAGACCCACGTAACAGTGTTCTGGAATCGTAAGTGAGGGAGAAACACTCAGAACCCAACAGCAGTCTTCTGGAATCTTAAGTGAGGGACATACATTCAGTCCACAGCAGAAGTGCTGTGGAATCCTATGTGAGGGACAAACATTCAGACGACCACAGGAGTGATCTGCAATAATATGTGAGGAACAAACATTTAGACCAGAGCACGAATGTTCTGGAATCCTAACTGAGGGACACATATTCAGTCAACAGCAGAAGTGTTCTGGAATCTTATGTGACGGACACACATTCAGACCACAGCAGGAGTGTTCTGCAATCCTTTGTGAGGGACAAACATTTAGACCCACATAGCAGTGTTCTGGATTCGTACGTGTGGGACAAACACTCACATCCCAACAGTAGTGTTATGGAATCCTAAGTGAGAGACGAACATTCAGACCAAAGCAGGAGTCTTCTGGAATCCTATGTGAGGTACAATCATTCAGACATTCATAGCAGAGTTCTGGAATCCTATCTGAGGGAGAAACATTCAGACCAGAGCAGGAGTTTTCTGGAATCCTATGTGAGGGACAATCATTCATAACACAGCTGGGGTGTTCTGTAATCCTACGTGTTGGACAAACATTCAGACCCTCGTAGCATTGTTCTGGAATCCTACGTGAGGGACAAATATTCAGACCAGAGTAGGAGTGTTCTGGAATCCTATGTGAGGGACAATCATTCCGACCATACCTGGGGAGTTCTGGAATACTACGTGAGGTACAATCATTCAGACACTTGTAGCAGTGTTCTGGAATCCTATGTGAGGGAGAAAAACACAGAACCCAGCAGAAATATTCTGAGATCCTATGTGAGGGAGAAACATTCGGACCTCACCAGGAGTGTTCTGGAATCATATATAACAGAGAATAATTCAGAAACTCGTAGCAGGGTTCTGGAATCATATGTGATGGACAAACATTGAGAACCTCTTAGCAGTGTTCTGGAATCCTATGTGAGGGAGAAACACACAGAACCCAGCAGAAATGTTCTGGAATCCTATGTGAGGGAGAAACATTCAGACCTCAGCAGGAGAGTTCTGGAATCCTATGTAACAGAGAATAATTCAGAAACTCGTAGCAGTGTTCTGGAATCCTATATGAGGGATAAACATTTAGACCCACGTAGCAGTGTTCTAGAATCTTAAGTGAGGACAAACACTCAGAACTCAGCAGCAGTGTTCTGGAATACTATCTAAGGGAGAAACATTCAGACCAGAGTAGGAGTGTTCTGGAATCTTACGTGAGGTACAATCATTCAGACCTTTGTACCAGTGTTCTGGAATGCTATGTGAGGGAGAAACACTCAGAAACAAGTAGCAGTGTTCTGGAATCCTAAGTGAGGGACAAACATTCAGACCACAGCAGGAGTGTTCTGGAATCCTATGTGATGGAGAATAATTTAGAACCTCGTAGCAGTGTTCTGGAAACCTATGTGATGGACAAACTTTCAGACCCTCACAGCAGTGTTCTGGAATCCTATGTGAGGGACAAACCTTTAGACACATGTAGCAGTGCTCTGGAATCCTATATGAGGGTCAAACACTCAGAACACATCAGCAGTGTTCTGGAATCCTATCTGTGGAATCCTATGTGAGGGACTAACACGCAGACTCTCGTATCAGTGTTCCGGAATCTTATGTGAGGGACAAACATTCAGACCCCCGTAGTATGGTTCTGAAATCCTAAGTGAGGGACAAACATTCAGACCATAGCAGCAGTGTTCTGGTATCCTACATGAAGAATAAACATTTAGACCCACTTAGCAGTGTTCTGGAATTGTATGTTAGGGACAAACACTCAGAACCCAGCAGCAGTGTTCTGCAATCCTATCTGAGGGAGAAACTTTCGGACCAGAGCAGGAGTGTTCGGGGATCCTCTGTGAGGTACAATCATTCAGATTTTTGTAGCAGTGTTCTGGAATCCTATGTGAGGGAGAAACACTCAGAAATCAGCAGCAGTGTTCTGGAATCCTTTGTGAGGGACAAACATTCAGACAACAGCAGCAGTGTTCTGTAATACTATGTGAGGGAAAAACATTTAGACCCACGTACTAGTGTTCTGCAATTGTACGTGAGGGACAAACCCTCAGAACCCAACCGTAGTGTTCTGGAATTCTAAGTGAGGAACAAACATTCAGACCACAGCAGGAGTGTTCTGGAATCCTATGTGATGGAGAATAATTCAGAACCTCGTAGCAGTATTCTGGAATCCTATGTGATGGACAACATTCAGACCCTCGTAGCAGTTTTCTGGAATCCTGTATGAGGGACAAACATTTAGACCCACGTAGCTGTGTTCTGGAATCATAAGTGAGGGTCAAACACTCAGAACCCAGCAGCACTGTCCTGGAATTCTATCTGTGGGAGAACCATTCAGACAAGAGCAGGAATATTCTGGAATGCTATGTGAGGGACAGTCATTCAGACACAGCTGGGGTGCTCTGGAATCCTACGTGTGGGACAAACATTCAGAACCTTGTAACATTGTTCTGGAATCCAAAGTGAGGGACAAACATTCAGACCACAGCAGGAGTGTTCTTTTATCCTACGTGAGGGACAGAGATTAATACCCTCTTAGCAGTGTTCTGTAATCCTATATGAGGTACAAACTTTCAGACAACAACAGCAGTATTCTGGAATCCTACGTGAGGAACAAACATTCAGACCACAGGAGGAGTGTTCTGGAATCCTATGTGAGGGGCATTCAGACCACAGCAGTAGTTTTCTGGAATCCTATGTGGGGGACTAACATTCGGACCATCGTAGCAGTGTTCTATAATCTTATGTGAGGGACAAACATTCAGACCCTCGTAGCAGTGTACTGGAATCGTTCGTGAGAGACAAACACTCATAACCCAACAGCAGTGTTCTGGGATCCTAAGTAAGGGACAAATATTCAGACCATAGCAAGAGTGTTCTGGAATCCTACGTGATGGAGAATAATTCAGAACCTCGTAGGAGTGTTCTCGTATCCTATGTAATGGGCAAAGTTTCAGACCCTCGTACCCGTGTTCTGGAATCCTAAGTAATGGACAAACATTTAGACCCACGTAGCAGTGTTCTGGAATCGTCGGTGAGGGACCAACTCTCAGAACCCATCAGCAGTGTTCTGGAATCCTATCTGAAGGAGAAACATTCAGACTACAGCAGGAGTGTTCTGGAATCCTATGTGAGCTACAATCATTCAGACATTCGTAGCAATGTTGTGGAATCCTATGTGAGGGAGAAACATTCAGACCACAGCAGGAGTTTTCTGGAATCCTATGAGAGGGACAATCATTCAGTCCACAGCTGAGGTGTTCTGGAATCCTACGTGTTGGACAAACATTCAGATCACAGCCGGAGTGTTCTGGAATACTATGTGAGGGACATTCAGACCACAGCAGGAGTCTTCTGGAATCCTATGTGAGGGACAACTTTCAGACCACAGCAGCAGTGTTCTGGAATCCTTTCTGAGGGACAAACTTTCAGACCCTCTTAGCAGTGTTCTGGAATCCTATAAGAAGGACAAATCTTTAGACCTACGTAGCAGTGTTCTGGAATCGTACGTGAGGGACAAACACTCAGAAACCAGCAGCAATTTTCTGGAATCCG
>NT_187497.1:110463-118449 GCF_000001405.40 Homo sapiens
TATGTGAGAGTCAATCATTCAGACAAAATCTGGTATGATTTGGAATCCTACGTGTGGGACAAACATTCAGACCCTCCTAGCATTGTTCTGGAATCCTCAGTGAGGGACAAACTTTCAGACGACAGCAGGAGTGTTCTGGAATCCTATGTGAAGGACCAAGATACAGACCATCGTAGCAGTGTTCTGGAATCCTATCTGAGGGAGAAACATTCAGACCACAGCCGGATTGTTCTGTAATCCTATGTGAGGTAAAATCATTTAGACCCACGTAGCATTTCTCTGGAATCCTAAGTGAAGAAGACACATTCAGACCACAGGAGGAGTGTTCTGGAATCCTATGTGAGGGACAAACTTTCAGAACACAGCAGCACTGCTCTGGAATCCCATGTGAGGAACAAACATTCAGAACCTCGTAGCAGTGTTCTGGAATATTATGTGAGGGACAAACATTCAGACTCTCGTAGCAGAGTTATGGAATCCTATGTGAAGGAGAAACATTCAGAAAAGAGAAGGAGTGTTCTGGAATCCTATCTGAGGGAGAAACATTCAGAACCTTGTAGCAGTGTTCTGGAATCCTATGTGAGGGTGAAACAGAACCCAGTAGCAGTGTTCTGGAATCTTATTTGGGGGACAATCATTCGGACCACAGATGGCGTGTTCTATAATCCCATGTGTAGCACAAGCATTCAGACCCTCGTAGCACTGTTTTGGAGTCCAAAATGAGGTACATATATTCAGACAACAGCAGGAGAGTTCTGGAATCCTATGTGAGGGACAAAAATTTAGACCACAGCAGCAGTGTTTTGAAATCTTATGTGAGGGACCAAAATTGAGACACATGAAGCCGTGTTCTGGAATCTTATGTGAAGGACAGATATTCAGAACCCCGTAGCAGTGGTCTGGAATCCTTTGTGAGGGAGAAACACTCAGAACCCAGATGCAGTGTTCTGGAATCCTATATGAGGGACAGTCATTCAGACCACAGCTAGTGTGTTCTGGAATCCTGAGTGTGGGAGAAACATTCAGACCCTCGTAACACTGTTCAGAATCTTATGTGAGGGAAAAGCTTTCAGACCACAGCAGCAGTGTTCTGGAATCCTCTGTGAGGGACAAACATTCAGACCACAGCAGCAGAGTTCTGGAATCCTAAGACAGGGACAAATATTCAGACCACAGCAGGAGAGTTCTGAAATCCTATGTGACAGACAAACATTTATACCCAAGTAGCAGTGTTGGAATCGTTCGTGAGGGACAAACACTAAGAAACCAACAGCAGTGGTCTATAATCATAAGTGAGGGACAAACATTCAGACGACAGCAGGAGTGTTCTGGAATCCTACGTGATGGAAAATAGTTCAGAACCTCGTAGCAGTGTTCTCGAATCCTATGTAATGGACAAACTTTCAGACCCTCGTAGCAGTGTTCTGGAATCCTAAGTAATGGACAAACGTAGACCCACGTAGCAGTGTTCTAGAATCGTACTTGAGGAACAAACACTCAGAACCCAGCAGCAGTGTTCTGGAATCCTATCTGAGGGAGAAACATTCAGAACAGAGCAGGAGTGTTCTGGAATCCTATGTGAGGAAGAATCATTCAGACATTCGTAGCAGTGTTCTGGAATCCTATGTGAGGGAGAAACATTCAGACCAGAGCAGGAGTGTTCTGGAATCCTATGTAAGGAACAATCATTCAGAACACTGCTGGGTTTTTCTGGAATCCTACATGTGGGACAAACATTCAGACAACAGCAGGAGTGTTCTGGGATCCTATGTGAGGGACAAACATTCAGACCACAACAGCAATGTTCTGGAATCCTGGGTGAGGAACAAACATTCAGAATCCTGTAGCAGTGTTCTGGAATCTTATGTGAGGGACAAACATTCAGACCACAGCAGGAGGGTTCTGGAATCCTATGTGAAGGACAAACATTTAGACACACGTTGTAGTGTTGTGGAATCATATGTGAGGGACAAACACTCAGAACCCAAAAGCAGTGTTCTGGAATCTTATGTGGTGGACAAATATTTAGACTCACGTAGCAGTGTTCTGGAATCGTACATGAGGGGCAAACTCTCAGAACACAGCAGCAGTGTTCTCAAATCCTATCTGAGGGAGAAACATTCAGACCAGAGCACGAGTGTTCTGGAGTGCTACGTGTGGTACAATCATTTAGACTCTCGTAGCAGTGTTCTGGAATCCTATGTGAGGGAGAAAATTCCAGACCCCAGCAACATTGTTCTGGAATCCTATGTGAGAGAGAAACATTCAGACCACAGCAGGAATATTCTGGAATCCTATGTGAGGGACAAACATTTAGACACATGTAGCAGTGTTCTGGAATCATAAGTGAGGGACAAACATTCAGACCAAAGCAGGAGTCTTCAGGAATCCTTTGTGAGGGACAAAATTCAGAACACAGCAGCAGTGTTCTGGAATCATATCTGAGGGACAAATTTTCAGAACGTCGTAGCAGTGTTCTGGAATCCTATAAGTGAGACAAACATTTAGACCCACGTAGCAGTGTTCTGGAATCTTACGTGGGGGACAAACATTCAGACAACAGCAGCAGTGTTCTGGAATCCTAAATGAGGGACAAACATTTAGACCAAAGCAGCAGTGCTCTGGAATCCTACAGGAGGGTCAAACATTAAGACAAGAGCAGGAGTGTTCTAGAATCCTATGTGAGGGACAATCATTCAGGCCACACTTGGGGTGTTCTTGAATCCTGCGTGTTGGACAAATATTCAGACCCTCGTAGCATCGCTCTGGAATCTTAATTGTGCGACAAACGTTCAAACAACAGTAGTAGTGTTCTGGAATCCTAAGTGAGGGACAAACATTCAGACCACAGCAGGAATGTTCTGGAATATTACGTGACGGACAAATATTCAGACCACAGCTGGATTTTTCTGGAATCCTATGTGATTCCATTAGACCCACGTAGAAGTGTTCTGGAATCATACGTGAGGGACAAACACTCAGAACCCAAGAGCAGTGTGCTTCAATTCTAAATGATGGACAAATATTCAGAAGACCGGAGGAGTGTTCTGGAATCCTATGTGACGAAGAATAATTCAGAACCTCGTAGCAGTGTTCTCTAATCCTATGTGATGGACAATTTTCAGACGCTCTTAGCAATATTATAGAATCCTATGTGATGGACAAACATTTAGACCCACTTAGCAGTGTTCTGGAATCGAACGTAAGGGACAAACACTCAGAACCCAGCAGCAGTGTTCTGGAATCCTAACTGAGGGATAAACATGTAGACCATAGCAGGAGTCTTCTGGAATCCTATGTGAGGAACAATCGTTCAGACCACAGCTGGGGTGTTCTGGAATCCTATGTGAGGGACAAACATTCAGACCTTCATAGCATTATTCTGGAATCCTAGGTGAGGGACAAACATTGAGACCACAGCAGGAGTGTTCTGGAATCCTAAATGAGGGACAAACATTCAGACCCTCGTAGCAGTGTTGTGGAATCTTATGTGAGGGACAAACATTCAGACCCTCATAACAGTGTTCTGGAATCCTAAGTGAGGGACAATCACTCATAACCCAGCAGCAGCGTTCTGGAATCCTATGTGAGGGACAAACACTCAGACTTTCGCAGGAGTGTTGTGGAATCATTTGTGAGGGACAAACATTCAGAACACAGCAGCAGTGTTCTGGAATCCTAGTGGAGGGACAAACATACAGACCACAGCAGGAGTGTTCTGGAATCCTATGTGAGTGACTAACATTCAGACAGCAGTAGCAGTCTTCTGGAATCCTACGTGAGGGACAAACATTCAGACGAGAGCAGGAGTGTTCTGGAATCCTATGTGAGGGACAATCATTCAGATCACAGCTGGGGTGTTCTGGAATCCTGCATGTTGGACAAACATTCAGACCCTCGTAGCATTGTTCTGGAATCCTAAGTGAGAGACAAACATTCAGACCACAGCATGAATGTTCTGGAATCCTATGTGAGTGACAAACTGTTAGACCCACGTAGCAGTGTTCGGGAATCGTATGTGAGGGACAAAAACTCAGAACCCAACAGCAGTGTTCTGGAATCTTAAGTGACGGACAAATATTCAGAGGACAGTAGGAGTGTTCTGGAATCCTATGTGACGGAGAATAATTCAGAACCTCGTAGCAGTGCTCTGGAATCCTATCTGATGAACAACTTTCAGACGCTTGTAACAATATTTTAGAATCCTATGTGATGGACAAACATTTAGACCCACTTAGCAGTGTTCTGGAAACGAACGTAAGGGACAAACACTCAGAACCCAGCAGCAGTGTACTAGAATCCTAACTGAGGGAGAAACATTAAGAATAGAGCAGGAGTGTTCTGGAATCCTATGTGATGGAGAAAAATTCAGAACCCCCAGCACTGTTCTGAAATCCTATGTGATTGAGAAACGTTCAAATCACGGGAGCACTGTTCTGGTGTCCTAAGTGAGGGACAAGCATTGAGACCACAGCAGCAGTGTTCTGGAATCCTATGTGAGGGACAAACATTCAGACCCTCGTAGGAGTGTTCTGAAATCTTATGTGAGGGACAATCATTCAGACCCTATTAGCAATGTTCTGGAATCCTATTTGAGGGAGAAACACTCAGAACCCAGCAGCAGTGTTCTGGAATACTAAGTGATGGACTAACATTCAGACCACACCAGCAGTGTTCTGCAATCCTATGTGAAGGACAAACATTTAGACCCACGTAGAAGTGTTCTGGAATCGTACGTGAAGAAAAAACACTCAGAACCCAACAGCAGTGTTCTGGAATCTCAAGTGAGAGACGAACATTCTGAACACAGCAGGAGTGTTCTGGAATCCTATGTGACAGAGAATAATTCAGAACCTCACAACCGTGTTATCGAATCCTATGTGACAGACAAACTTTCAGACCCTAGTAGCAGTGTTCTTGAATCCTATTTGAGGGACAAACACTGAGAATCCAGCAGCATGGTCCCGGAGTCCTATGGGAGGGACAAACCTTCAGACCACGGCAGCAGTGTTCTGGAATACAATGTGAAGGAGAAATGTTTAGACCCACGTAGCAGAGTTCTGGAATCGTATGTGTGGGACAAACACTCAGAACCCAGCAGCAGTGTTCTGGAATCCTACTTGAGGGTGAAACATTCAAACCAGAGCAGGAAATTCCTGTAATCCTAAGTGAGGTACAATAAATCAGACCATCATGGCAGTGTTCTGGAATCCAATGTGAGGGAGAAGCATGCAGAACCCAGCAGCAGTCTTCTGGAATCCTATGTGAGGGACAAATATTCAGACCACATCATCAGTGTTCTGGAACACTATGTGAGGGACAAACACGTAGACCCACGTGCAGTGTTCTGGAATCATAAGTGAGGGAGAAACACTCAGAATCCAGCAGCAGTGTTCTGGTGTTGTATCTGAGGGAGAAACATTCAGATCAGAGCAGGAATGTTCTGGAATCCTATGTGAGGTACAAACGATCAGACACTGGTAGCAGTCTTCTGGAATCCTATATGAGGGATAAACACTCAGATCCCAGCAGCAGTGTTCTGGAATCCTATTCGAGGGAGAAACATTCAGACCAGAGCAGGAGTGTTGTGGACGCCTATGTGAGTGACAAACACTCAGAGAAAAGGAGCAGTGTTCTGGAATCCTATGTGAGTGACAAACACTCAGAGAAAAGGAGCAATGTTCTGGAATCCTATGTGAGGGCCAATCATTCAGACCACAACTGGGTTGTTGTGGAATCCTATGTGTGGGACAAACATTCAGACCTTCATAGCATTGTTCTGGAATCCTACCTGAGGGACAAACATTCAGACCACAGCAGAAATGTTCTGGAATCCTATGTGATGGACAAATATTCAGACCACAGCAGGAGTGTTCTGGAATCCTATGTGAGTTACAAAATTGTAGACCCACGTAGCAGTGTTCTGGAATCGTAAGTGAGGAACAAACACTCAGAACCCAACAGCAGTGTGCTGGAATCCTAAGTGACGGACAAATATTCAGACAACAGGAGTGTTCTGGAATCCTATGTGACAGAGAATGATTCGGAACCTCGTACCAGTGTTCTGAAATCCTATGTGATGGACACCTTTCAGACGCTTGTAGCAATATTCTAGAATCCTATGTGATGGACTAAAATTTAGACCCACGTAGCAGTGTTCTGGAATCGAATGTAAGGGACAAATACTCAGAACGCAGCAGTGTTCTGGAATCCTAACTGAGGGAGAAACATTCAGACGAGAGCAGGAGTGTTCTGGAATCCTATAGGAGGAACATTCATACCAAAGCTGGGGTTTTCTGGAATCCCACGTGCAGGGCAAACATTGAGACCACAGTAGGAGTTTTCTGGAATCCTATGTGATGGAGAATAATTCAGAACCCCGTAGCACTGTTCTGGAATCCCATGTGACGGAGAAATGTTCAAACGACAGGAGCACTGTTCCTGTATCCTAAGTGAGGGACAAGCATTCAGACCACAGCAGCAGTGTTCTGGAATCCTATGTGAGGGACAGACATTGAGACCCTCGTAGGAGTGTTCTGGAATCTTATGTGAGGGATAAACATTCAGACCCTCGTAACATTGTTCCGGAATCCTAAGTGAGGGACAAACATACAGACCACAGCAGGAGTGTTCTGTAATCCTATGTGAGGGACAAACATTCAGACCACCAAAGGCGTGTTCTGGAATCCTATGTGAGGGACAAACATTCAGACCCTCGTAGTAGTGTTCTGGAATCTTTTGTGAGGGACAAACATTCAGACCTCCATAGCAGTGTTCTGGAATCCTATGTGAGGGACAAACATTCACACCACAGCATCAGTGTTCTGGAATACTATGTGATGGACAAACATTCAGACCCTCGTAGCAGTGTTCTGGAATCTTATGTGAGGGACAAACATTCAGACCCTTGTAGCATTGTTCCGGAATCCTAAGTGAGGGACAAACATACAGACAACAGCAGGAGTGTTCTGCAATTCCATGTGAGGAACAAACACTCAGAACCCAACAGCAGTGTTCTGGAATCCTAAGTAAGGGACAAACATTCAGACCACAGCAGGAGTGTTCTGGAAGCCTATGTGTGGAGAATAATTCAGAACTTCGTAGCAGTGTTCTGGAATCCTATGTGATGTACAAACGTTCAGGCCACAGCAACAGTGTTCTGGAATCCTATGTGAGGGACAAACATTCAGAACCTCATAGCAGTGTTCTGGAATCCTATGTGAGGGAAAAACATTCATACTCTCATAGCAGTGTTCTGGAATCTTATGTGAGGGACAAACATTCAGACCTTTGTAGTAGAGATCTGGAATCCTATATAAGGGACACACACTCAGAACCCAACAGCAGTGTTTTGGAATCCTAAGTGAGGGACAAACATTCAGACCACAGCAGGAGTGTTCTGGAATCCTATGTGATGGACAACCTTTCAGACCCTCGTATCAGTGTTCTGGAATCCTATATGATGGACAAATACTTAGACACACGTAGCAGTGTTCTGGGATCGTATGTGAGGGACAAACACTCAGAAGCCAGCATCAGTGTTCTCGAATCCTATCTGAGGGAGAAACATTCAGACCAGTGCAGGAGTGTTTTGGAATCACATATCAGGGCAAATATTTAGACACACATAGTAGTGTTCTGGAATCGTATGTGAGAGACAAACACTCGCAACCCAACAGCAGTGTTCTGGAATCCTAAGTGAGGGACAAGCATTGAGACCACAGAAGGAGTGTTCTGAAATCCTATGTAATGGACAAAGTTTCAGACCATCGTAGCAGTGGTCTGGAATCCTATGTGTGGGACAAACATTCAGACCCTCGTAGCAGTGTTCTGGAATCCTATGTGAGGGAGAAACACTCAGAACCCAGCAGCAGTGTTCTGGAATCTTATATGAGGGTCAATCATTCATGTCACAGCTGAGGTATTCTGGAATTCTACCTGTGGGACAAACATTGAGACCTTTGTAACATTGTTCTGGAATGCTAA
>NT_187497.1:118607-126158 GCF_000001405.40 Homo sapiens
TCGTAGCAGTGTTCTGGAATCCTATGTGAGGGAGAAACACTCACAACCCAGCAGCAGTGTTCTGGAATCCTGTATGAGGAAAAAGCATTCAGACTACAGCAGCATTGTTCTGGAATAGTATGTGAGGGACAAACATTTAGACCCACGTAGCAGTGTTCTGGAATCTTACGTGAGGGACAAACACTCAGAACACACCAGCAGTGTTCTGGTATCCTGAGGGACAAACAGTCAGACGACAGCAGGTCTGTTCTGGAATCATATGTGACGGGGAATAATTAAGAAACTCGTAGCAGTGTCTGAAATCCTATGTGATGGAAAAACTTTCAGACCCTCGTAACACTGTTCTGGAGTCCTATATAAGGGACAAACATTTAGACCCAAGTAGCAGTGTTCTGGAATCGTACGTGAGGGACAAACACTCAGAACCCAGTAGCAGCGTTATGGAATCCTATGTGAGGGTCAATCACTCAAACCACACCTGTGGTGTTCTGAAATCCTTCGTGTGACATAAACATTCAGACACTCGTAGCATTCTTTTGGAATCCTCAGAGAGGGACAGACATTCAGACCACAGCAGGAGTGTTCTGGAATCATATGTGAGGGACAAACATTCACAGCAGAACAGTAGTGTTCTGGATTCCTATGTCAGGTACAAACATTCAGACCCTCATAGCAGTGTTCTGGAGTCCTATGTGGAGGAGAGACATTCAGACTCTCGTAGCAGTGTTCTGGAATCCTATGTGTGGGACAAACACTGTGAACCCAGCAGCAGTATTCTGGAATCCTATGTGAGGGAAATAACATTCAGAATACAGCAGGAGTGTTCTGGAATCCTATGTGTGGGAGAAATATTTAGACCCACGTAGCAGTGTTCTGGAATCGTAAGTGAGGGACAAACACTCAGAACCAAACAGGAGTGTTCTGGAATCCTATTTGAGGGACAAATATTCAGACACTCATAGCAGTGTTCTGGAATTCTATGTGATGGACAAACTTTCAGACCTTTGTAGCAGCGTTCTGGAATCCTATGTGATGGACAAGCATTTAGACACACGTAGCAGTGTTCTTGGATCCTATGTGAGGGACAAACACTCAGAAGCCAGCAGCAGTGTTCTGGAATCCTATCTGAGGGAGAAATATTCAAACCAGAGCAGTAGTGTTATGGAATCCTATATGAGGTACAATCATTCAGATTCTCGAAGCAGTGTTCTGGAATCATATGTGAGGAGAAACACTCAGAACCCAGCAGCAGTGTTCTGGAATCCTATGTGAGGGAGAGTCATTCAGATCACTGCTGGGGTGTTCTGGAATCCTACGTGTGGGACAAACATTCAGACCCTCGTAGTACTGTTATGGAATCCTAAGTGAGGAACAGACATTCAGTCCAAAGCAGTAGCGTTCTGGAATACTAAGTGAGTACAACATTCAGACAACAGCAGCAGTGTTCTGGAATCTTGTTTGAGGGACAAAGTTTCAGATCCTCTTAGCAGCGTTCTCAAATCCCATATGTGGGGCAAACATTCTGTCCCACGTAGCAGTGTTCTGGAATAGTACGTGAGGGAAAAACCCTCAATCCCAGCAACAGTTTTCTGGAATCCTATATGAGGGACAAACATTCAGACCACAGCAGGAGTGTTCTGGAATCCTATGGGACGGACAAACATTTAGACCCACATAGCAGTGTTCTGGAATCTTACACGAGGGACTAAATCTCAGAACCCAACAGCAGTGATCTGGAATCCTAAGTAAGGGACAAACATTCAGAACACAGCAGGAGTGTTCTGAAATCCTATGTGACATAGAATAGTTCAGAACCTCGTAGCAGTGTTCTGTAATCCTATGTGATGAACAAAAATTCAGACCACAGCAGCAGTGTTCTGGAATCCTAAATGAGGGATGAACATTCAGACAACTGCAGAAGTGTTCTGGAATCCTATGTTAGGGACAAACATTCAGACCACAGCATCAGTGTTCTGGAATCCTATGTGAGAGACAAACATTCAGAGCCTCGTAGCAGTGTTCTGGAGTCCTATGTGAGGGACAAACATTTACACCCACCTAGCAGTGTTCTTGAAATGTACTTGAGGGACAAGCACTCAGAACCCAACAGCAGTGTTCTCAAATCCTAAACGAGGGACAAACATTCAGACCACAGCAGGAGTGTTCTGGAATCTTTTGTGATGAACAAAAATTCAGACCACAGCAGCAGTGTTCTGGAATAGCATGTGAGGTACAAACATTCAGACCCTTGTAGCTGTGTTTTGGAATCTTATGTGAAGGAGATACACTCAGAATCCACCAGCAGTGTTCTGGAATCCTATGTGAGGTACAAACATTCAGATCACAGCAGGAGTGTTATGGAATCCTATGAGAGTTACAAACATTAAGACTCACGTAGCAGTGTTCTGGAATCGTAAGTGAGGGACAAACACTTAGAACCCAGCAGCAGTGTTCTGGAATCCTAAGTGAGGGACAATCATTCAAAGCACAGTAGGAGTGTTCTGGAATCCCATGAGAGGGAGAAACACATAAAATGCAGCAGCAGTATTCTGGAATCTTATGTGAGGGACAATCATTCAGACCACAGCTGGGGTGTTCTGGAATCCTACGTGTGGGACAAACATACAGACCCCCGTAGCATTGTTCCAGAATCCTAAGTGAAGGACAAACATACAGACCACAGCAGCAGTGTTCTGGAATCCTATGTGAGGGACAAACATTCAGACCACAGCAGGAGTGTTCTGGAATCCTATGTGAGGGATAAACATTCAGACGAAAGCAGCAGTGTTGTGGAACCCTATCTGAGGGACAAACATTCAGACCCTCGTAGCAGTGTTCTGGAACCTTATGTGATGGACAAACATTCAGACCTTCGTAGCTGTGTTCTGGAATCCTATATGAGCGACAAACACTCGAAACCCAGCAGCAGTGTTCTGGAATCCTATGTGAGGCAAAAACATTCAGACCATCGTAACAGTGTTCTGGAATCTTTTGTTCGGGAGAAACATTCAGAACCTCGTAGCAGTGTACTGGAATCCTATGTGAGGGAAAAACATTCAGAACCCGGCAGCAATGTTCTGGAATCCTATGTGAGGGACAAAGATTTATTCCTACGTAGCAGTGTTCTTGAATCGTACGTGAGGGGCAAACACTCAGAACCCAACAGCAGTGTTCTGGAATCCTAAGTGGGGGACAAAAATTCAGACCACAGCAGGAGTGTTGTAGAATCCTATACGATGGAGAATATTTCAGAACCCCGTAGAAGTGTTCTAGAATCCTATATGATGGACAAATTTTCAGACTCTCTTAGCAGTGTTCTGGAATTCTGTGTTATGGACAATCATTTAGACCCACGTAGCATTGTTCTGGAATCTTACGTGAGGTACAAACACTCAGAAAACAGCAGCAGTGTTCTGGACACCTATCTGTGGGACAAATATTCAGACAACAGCATGATTTTTCTGGAATCTTATGTGAGGTACAATCATTCAGACCCTCGTAGCAGTGTTCTCGAATCCTATGTGAGGCAGAAAAATTCAGACCAAAGCAGGAGTGTTCTAGAATCCTATGTGACGGAGAACAATTCAGAACCTCGTAGAGTTGTTCTGGAATCCTATGTGATGGATAAACATACAGACCACATCATCAGTGTTCTGGAATCCTAAGTGTGGGACAAACATTCAGACCCTCGTAGCACTGTTCTGGAATCCTAAGTGAGGGACAAACATTCAGTCCACAGCAGGAGGGTTCTAGAATCCTAAGTGAGGACAACATTCAGACCACAGCAGCAGTGTTCTGGAATCCTATTTAAGGGACAAACTTTCAGATCCTCTTAGCAGTGTTCTCAAATCCTATATGAGGTACAAACATGCAGACTCACGTAGCCTTGTTCTGGAATCGTACGTGAGGGACAAATACTCAATCCCAGCAACAGTTTTCTGGAATCCTATCTGAGGGAAAAACATTCAGACTACAGCAGGAGTGTTGTGGAATTCTATGTGACAGACAAATATTTAGACCCACATAGCAGTGTTCTGGAATCGTACTTGAGGGACAAAAACTCAGAACCCAAGAGCAGAGTTCTGGAATCCTAAGTGAGGGACAAACATTCAGACCACAACAGGAGTGCTCTAGAATTCTATGTGAGGGACAAACATACAGACCACAGCAGCAATGTTTTGGAATCCAATGTGAGAGACAAACATTCAGACCACAGCAACAGTGTTCTGGAATCCTGGGTAAGGGACAAACATTCAGACCACAGCAGGAGTGTTCTGAAGTCCTATGTGAGGAACAAACATTCAGACCCTCATATCAGTGTTCCGGAATCTTGTGTGAGGGACAAACACTGAGAACCCAGCAGCAGTGTTCTGGAATCCAATGTGATGGATAAACTTTCAGACATTCGTAGGAGTGTTCTGGAATCCTTTGTGATGGACAAACACTTAGACCCACGTAACAGTGTCCTGGAATCTTACGTGACGGAAATCCACTCAGAACCCAGCAGTAGTGTTCTGGAACCCTATCTGATGGAGAAATATTGAGACTGGAAGAGGAGTGTTGTGGAATCCTATGTGAGGTACAAACATTCAGGAACTCATAGCATTGTTCTGGAATCCTATGTGATTGAGAAACACTCAGAACCCAGTAGCAGTGTTCTGGAATCCTATGTGAGGACAATCATTCATACCACATCTTGGGTGTTCTGGAATCTTAAGTGAGGGACAAACATTCAGACCACAGCAGCCGTGTTCTGGAATAAAATGTGAGGGACAAACATTCAGACCACAGCAAGATTGTTCTGGAATCCTATGTGAAGGACAAACATTTAGACCCACATATCAGTGTTCTGTAATCGTACGTGAGGGACAAACACTCAGAACCCAGCAGCAGTGTTCTGGAATCCTGTCTGAGGGAGAAACATTCAGACCAGATCAGGAATGTTCTGGAATCCTAGGTGAGGGACAATCAGTGAGGGCGGTGGTGGATTCCAGAACAATGCTTCCTGTGTCTAAATGTTTTGCCCTCACAATCCTAAGTGAGGGAGATTTTGGACTGAGTCGATGGTGTTTTCTATATATACAATCATGTCATCTGCAAACAGGGACAATTTGAATTCCTCTTTTCCCAATTGAATGCCCTTTATTTCCTTCTCCTGCCTAATTCCCCTGGCCAGAACTTCCAACACTATGTTGTATGGGAGTGGTGAGAGAGGACATCCCTGTTTTGTGCCAGTTTTCAAAGGGAATGCTTACAGTTTTTGCCTGTTCAGTATGATATTGGCTGTGGGTTTGTCATAGATAGCTCTTATTATTTTGAGATACGTCCCATCAATATCTAATTTATTGAGAGTTTTTAGCATGAAGTGTTGTTGAATTTTGTCAAAGGCCTTTTCTACATCTATTGATATGATCATGTGGTTTTTGTCTTTGGTTCTGTTCATATGCTGGATTACGTTTATTGATTTGCATATATTGAGCCAGGCTTGCATCCCAGGGATGAAGCCCACTTGATCATGGTGGATAAGCTTTTTAATGTGTTGCTGGATTCGGTTTGCCAGTATTTTGTTGAGGATTTTTGCATCAAAGTTCATCAAGAATATTGGTCTAAAATTGTCTTTTTTTGTTGTGTCTCTGTCAGACTTTCGTGTCAGGATGGTGTTGGCCTCATAAAATAAGTTAGGGAGGATTCTGTCTTTCTATTGGTTGGAATAGCGTCAGAAGGAATGGTACCAGCTCCTCCTTGTACCTCTGGTACAATTCGGCTGTGAATCCATCTGCTTCTGGACTTTTTTTGATTGGTAAGTTATTAATTACTTCCTCAACTTCAGAGTCTGTTACTGGTCTATTCAGAGATTCAACTTCTTCCTGGTTTAGTCTTGGGAGGGTGTATGTGTCGAGGAATTTATCCATTTCTTCTAGATTTTCTAGTTTATTTACGTAGTGGTGTTTATAGTATTCTCTGATGGTAGTTTGTATGTCTGTGGGATCAGTGGTGATATCCCCTTTATCAATTTTTATTGCGTCTATTTGATTCTTCTCTCTTTTCTTCTTTGTTAGTCTTGCCAGTGGTCTATCAATTTTGTTGATCTTTTCAAAAAACCAGCTCCTGGACTCATTAATTTTTTGAGGGGTTTTTTGTGTCTCTATTTCCTTCAGTTCTGCTCTGATCTTAGTTATCTCTTGCCTTCTGCTAGCTTTTGAATGTGTTTGCTCTTGCTTCTCTATTTCTTTTAATTGTGATGTTAGGGTGTCAATTTTAGATTTTTCCTGCTTTCTCTTGTGTTCATTTAGTGCTATAAATTTCCCTCTACACGCTGCTTTGAATGTGTCCCAGAGATTCTGGTATGTTGTGTATCTGTCCTCGTTGGTTTCAAAAAACAGCTTTATTTCTGCCTTCATTTCGTTATGTACCTAATAGTCATTTCGGAGCCGGCTGTTAAGTTTCCATGTAGCTGAGCGGTTTTGAGTGAGTTTCTTAATCCTGAGTTCTAGTTTGATTGCACTGTGATCTGAGAGACAGTTTGTTATAATTTCTGTTCTTTTACATTTGCTGAGGAGTGCTTTACTTCCAACTATGTGGTCCATTTTGGAATAGTTGTGGTGTGGTGCTGAAAAACATGTATATTCTGTTGATTTGGGGAGGAGAGTTCTGTAGATGTCTGTTAGGTCTGCTTGGTGCAGAGCTGAGTTCAATTCCTGGATATCCTTGTTAAATTTCTGTCTCACTGATCTGTCTAATGTTGACAGTGGGGTGTTAAAGTCTCCCGTTATTATTGTGTGGGAGTCTACGTCTCTTTGTAGGTCACTAAGGACTTGCTCCATGAATCTGGGTGCTCTTGTATTGGGTGCATGTATATTTAGGATAGTTTTCTCTTCTTGTTGAATTGATCCCTTTACCATTATGTAATGGCCTTCTTTGTCTCTTTTGATCTTTGTTGGTTTAAAGTCTGTTTTATCCAAGACTGGGATTGCAACCCCTGCCTTATTCTGTTTTCCATTTGCTTCGTAGATCTTCCTCCATCCCTTTATTTTGAGCCTATGTGTGTCTCTGCACGTGAGATGGGTTTCCTGAATACAGCACACTGATGAGTCTTGACTCTTTATCCAATTTGCCAGTCTGTGTCTTTTAATTGGAGCATTTAGGCCATTTACATTTAAGGTTCATATTGTTATGTGTGAATTTGATCCTGTTATTACTATGTCAGCTGGTTATTTTGCTCGTTAGTTGATGCAGTTTCTTCCTAGCCTTAATGGTCTTTGCAATTTGGCATGTTTTTGCAGTGGCTGGTACCAATTTTTCCTTTCCACGTTTAGTACTTCCTTCAGGAGCTCTTTTAGGGCAGGCCTGGTGGTGACAAAATCTCTCAACATTTGCTTGTCTGTAAAGTATTTTATTTCTCCTTCACTGATGAAGCTTGTTTGACTGGATATGAAATTCTGGGTTGAAATTTTTTTTCTTTAAGAATGTTGAATATTGGCCCCCACTCTCTTCTGGCTTGTAGAGTTTCTGCTGAGATGTCTGCTGTTAGTGTGATTGGTTTCCCTTTGT
>NT_187497.1:126183-127786 GCF_000001405.40 Homo sapiens
ATAGTGGTGTTTATAGTATTCTCTGATGGTAGTTTGTATGTCTGTGGGATCAGTGGTGATATCCCCTTTATCATTTTTTATTGCGTCTATTTGATCTCTCTTTTCTTCTTTGTTAGTCTTGCCAGTGGTCTATCAATTTTGTTGATCTTTTCAAAAAACCAGCTCCTGGACTCATTAATTTTTTGAGGGGTTTTTGTGTCTCTATTTCCTTCAGTTCTGCTCTGATCTTAGTTATCTCTTGCCTTCTGCTAGCTTTTGAATGTGTTTGCTCTTGCTTCTCTATTTCTTTTAATTGTGATGTTAGGGTGTCAATTTTGGATCTTTCCTGCTTTCTCTTGTGTTCATTTAGTGCTATAAATTTCCCTCTACACACTGCTTTGAATGTGTCCCAGAGATTCTTGTATGTTGTGTATTTGTCCTCGTTGGTTTCAAAAAACAGCTTTATTTCTGCCTTCATTTCGTTATGTACCCAATAGTCATTTCGGAGCCGGCTGTTAAGTTTCCATGTAGGTGAGTGGTTTTGAGTTTCTTAATCCTGAGTTCTAGTTTGATTGCACTGTGATCTGAGAGACAGTTTATTATAATTTCTGTTCTTTTACATTTGCTGAGGAGTGCTTTACTTCCAACTATGTGGTCAATTTTGGAATAGGTGTGGTGTGGTGCTGAAAAAAATGTATATTCTGTTGATTTGGGGAGGAGAGTTCTGTAGATGTCTGTTAGGTCTGCTTGGTGCAGAGCTGAGTTCAATTCCTGGATATCCTTGTTAAATTTCTGTCTCACTGATCTGTCTAATGTTGACAGTGGGGTGTTAAAGTCTCCCGTTATTATTGTGTGGGAGTCTACGTCTCTTTGTAGGTCACTAAGGACTTGCTCCATGAATCTGGGTGCTCTTGTATTGGGTGCATGTATATTTAGGATAGTTTGCTCTTCTTGTTGAATTGATCCCTTTACCATTATGTAATGGCCTTCTTTGTCTCTTTTGATCTTTGTTGGTTTAAAGTCTGTTTTATCCAAGACTGGGATTGCAACCCCTGCCTTATTCTGTTTTCCATTTGCTTCGTAGATCTTCCTCCATCCCTTTATTTTGAGCCTATGTGTGTCTCTGCACTTGAGATGGGTTTCCTGAATACAGCACACTGATGGGTCTTGACTCTTTATCCAATTTGCCAGTCTGTGTCTTTTAATTGGAGCATTTAGGCCATTTACATTTAAGGTTCATATTGTTATGTGTGAATTTGATCCTGTTATTACTATGTCAGCTGGTTATTTTGCTCGTTAGTTGATGCAGTTTCTTCCTAGCCTTAATGGTCTTTGCAATTTGGCATGTTTTTGCAGTGGCTGGTACCAATTTTTCCTTTCCACGTTTAGTGCTTTCTTCAGGAGCTCTTTTAGGGCAGGCCTGGTGGTGACAAAATCTCTCAACATTTGCTTGTCTGTAAAGTATTTTATTTCTCCTTCACTGATGAAGCTTGTTTGACTGGATATGAAATTCTGGGTTGAAAGTTTTTTTCTTTAAGAATGTTGAATATTGGCCCCCACTCTCTTCTGGCTTGTAGAGTTTCTGCTGAGATGTCTGCTGTTAGTGTGATTGGTTTCCCTTTGT
>NT_187497.1:128283-157432 GCF_000001405.40 Homo sapiens
CCCACTGTCCTGCACCCACTGTCCAGCACTCCCCAGTGAGATGAACCCAGTACCTCAGTTGGAAATGCAGAAATCACCCATCTTCTGCATCGCTCACTCTGGGAGCTGTAGACTGGAGCTGTACCTATACAGCCATCTTGACTAATTCCCTCATAACTGTCAAATATTGTATTAGGAAAAAAAATTAAGAGTATGTCTTCCATGCTCAGGTACCCTGTTTGAAATTAGTTAAGACCTATCTGCCCGGTGTGGTGGCTAACACCTGTAATTTCACACTTTGAAAGGTGGAGGATGGGGGATCACTTGAGCTCAGGAGTTAAAGACAAGCCTGCTCAACGTAACAAAACCTCATCTCTGCCAAAAATACAAATATTATCCAGTTGTGGTAGTGTGCAACTGTGGTCCCAGCTACTTGGGAGGCTGAGGTGGGAGAATCGCTGGAGCACAGAATATCAAAGCTGTAGTAAGCCACAGCACCCCAGCCAGAATGACAGGGAAACGGACCCTGTCTAAGAAATAAAAATAAATAAAGCGACCCATTCTTTCAGACACCCTTCTTCTTCTACATAAAACACGGGGCTTTTGACTGAAATGTTTTAAGATGAACCGAAGATTCTCCCATGATCAAGAGCAGTAGATAGGGGTTGCTCACTTCCTGCTCTTTGAGTTGAAGCAAGGCAGAGGCCTGGAGACTCAAACTGATAAATATATTCATTGCCTTCTTTTCATATGTTGTATTAAGCTATTATTGCGTTGCTATTTCAAAAATCTGAGTCTGGGTAATGTGTAAGAAAAGGGTTTGATTGGCTCATGGTTATGCAGGCTGTACAGGAAGCATAGCACCAGCGTCGGCCTCTGGGAAGGCCTCGGGAAGCTTACAATTATGATGAAAGAAGAGCAGGCATCTCACATGATAGAAGCAGGAGCAAGAAAAATGAGGGAGGGATGGGCCATACTTCTAAACAACCAGATCTCATGAGTACTCACTATCACAAGGATGGCACAGAGCCATGAGGGCCACACCCCATGATTCAACCACCTCTTCCTCAGACCCCACCTGCCACATTGGGGATTAAAATTCAATATGAGAGTTAGAGGGGCATCTAAACTACATCACATGACCATCAGAAAAACAGATGAAGAATTCATGGTTTCTACTGTCCAGAAACTTTCCATCTAGTACAAACGGCTTAATGGCTGAATTCAGCATCCTGTGGTGGGACGGGAGAAGGGAGCTGCACAGGGGACTTTGGCTGCATTTGCTCCACTTCCCTTATGCTGTTCCTCTGAGTTCTGATGTCACCACCTGAAGGGCTATTCATGGACAGAAGAATTATTGTTATTGTTGTGGTTATTTCTGTTTCTTTTATTTTGGTAAAAATAAGTTTTGTTTTTTTTTTTTTTTTGAGACAGAGTCTCACTCTGTCGCCCAGGCTGGAGTGCAGTGGCACAATATCAACTCACCACAAGCTCCGCCTCCCAGGCTGATGCCATTCTCCTGCCTCAGCCTCCCAAGTAGCTGAGACGACAGGCACCGACAACCACACCCAGCTAATTTTTTGTATTTTTAGTAGAGACGGGGTTTCACCATGTTAGCCAGGATAGTCTTGATTTCCTGACCTCGTGATTCGCCTGCCTTGGCCTCCCAACATACTCGGATTACAGGCATGAGCCACTGCGTCTGGCATGAGTTTTTAGCTTCTCATATAATTATCCTAAAAAATCCTAAGAGTTTTACTTAAGTTTCTTTTTATCATGTGTTATAAAAATTGACAGGGAAGTGGCTAAACCAGATTAAAATTACACAAGCTCTAAGAGTCAAGTCTCTGTTAGGCAGGCTTAGGAAAGACAGAACTAGAAATACTCCACCAGCATGGACATCTGAAACATGGGGTCCACTTTCTGTTCCAGCCCTGCCCAGATCCACCCTCTTCTATGGCTTCACCCAGGTCTGGCCTCACCCTAGAATCTTTTCTCACAGAACTGATTCAAGGAGATCAGAGATTTGGGCGGGGGCTCCTGCTGCCTCAGAACTGATTAAAGGAGACCAGAGATTCGGGCGGGGGCTCCTGCTGCCTCCTGAGTTGGTGCCCACAATTTCCTAAAGTGGAAAAGCAGATAAATGGAAGAAAATCATTGCATATTTGGGGACCATAATTTCTTTTCTATTGAAGCCAGTGCTTCTAGAGGCATCCTATCTAGCAACTTGTTTTCCATTCTTGCAAATCCAGTGGCTGCTACACAAGGCACAGAAAGTAAATATAAATATAAAACATCTCTCTGAACAGTTCACCCTTTTTTCTCTATCCCTTGCATCTGTCGACATAGCTTTTATTCTGCACATTTTGTTTTTCAGGTAAATACTTTTTAAAATGGAAGAAAAAATAGAAATGCTAGGCCTGTCATTTAAATCCTGAAAATTACAGAAAACTTAGCACCCAGCTGCCAGTGTGCTATGAGGACTAACTCACATCATGTAATATTTCCTGAACAGTGCTCTGTAACAGACTTCTGAACACATAGTACGTGCTCAATAAAGATTGTATTAACTCATGTGTACATGTTTTCCAAATGCAGACTTACTCAAACATTGGTGCCTTCTCTAGGCTTTCTAAACTGTAAAGAGCCAGCAGAAAATGACATGTTTGAAAAAGGTGATTGGTGGTTTCCACTTTGGGCCAAAAGTACTTGTGTTGTGGTAAGAGTGTTGGGTGTCATGAGCTCTGTGCTGTGCCTACTTTCGCTAGCTGAGTGCTACTATATTGGATGTAGTGGAAGAAACATCAGCATTAAGAGGAGACTTTTTAAAGAAGCCAATTCACGGACCCCTTCCAAACCTTCAGAATCACATCTCTAAGAGAGAGTCGGGAATCAGCAATAATTCATAGGCACATTGAAACTTGAGGAGCAACCGGGCGTGGTGGCTCACGCCTGTAATCCCAACACTTTGGGAGGCCAAAGTGGGCAGACCACCTGAGGTCAGGGGTTCAAGACCAGCCTGGGCAACATGGACAAACCATGTCTCTACTAAAACATACAAAAATTAGCCAGGTGTGGTGGCTGGTGCCTGTAATCCTAACTACTCGTGTGGCTGAGATTGGAGAATCACTTGAACCTGGGAGGTGGAGGTTGCAGTGAGCCAAGATGGCGCCACTGCACGCCTGCCTGGACAATGAGTGAAAACTCTGTCAAAAGAAGGAAGGAAGAAAGAAGAAACTTAGAAACTTGAGAGGCAATGCTTAGCTAAGTGGCTCTCGGCCCATGCTTCCAGCCATAATCATATGGCCAGCTTAAAGAAATACCATCACCTGTGCCCTCCCCAGAGACTCTGTCTATTGGTCTTGGTGGGATCCTCTATGTGGTTGTAATTGGAAAGTCAAATTTTCCCTCTTTGATGATTACATAATAATCATATATACAAAAGATGTAAAGACCACCAAAAAAACTCTTAGATTTGATAAATAAATTTAATAATGTTTCAGAATGCAAAAATCAACTTACAGAAATTAGTAGCATTTTTATACACTAATGATGATCAAGCTGAGAACCGAATTAAAATGTCACTTCCTTTTACAATAGCTACATAAAAGGTAAAATGCTTAGAAATACAATTAGTCAAAGAGATGACAGATCCCTACAAGGAAAACTACAAAACACTGATGAAAGAAATTGTACATGACACAAATGAGAAAAACATCCCATGCTCATGGATTGGAAGAATTATGATTATTAAAATGACTCTACTGCCCAAAGCAATCTACATGTTAAATGCAATTCCTACCAAAATGCCAATGTTATTTCTTATAAAATTAGAAAAAAAAATCTAAAATTCACATGGAACCACAAAAAGAGCCTGAATAGCCAAAGCAAATCTAAGCAAAGAGAACAAAGCTGGAGATATTACATTATCTGACTTAAAATTATACTAGAAGGCTTTAGTAACCAAAATAGCATGGTACTGATATAAATCGACACATAGATCAATGGTACAGAATAGAGAACCCAGAAATAAAGCCACATACCTACAAACAACTTATATTTTACAAAGTCAGCAAAAACATACACTGGAGAAATGACATCCTAGTCAATAAATTGTGCTGGAAAAATTATATTTCCGTATGCAGAAGTAAGGAATGGGACCCCTATGTCCCACCATATGCAAAAGTCAACTAAATATGGATTAAAAGACTAAAATGTAAGACCTGAAACTATAAAAATGCTAGGAGAAATGCTAGGATAAATTCTTCTAGAGATTGACTTGGACAAAGAATTTATGACTAAGATCTCAAAAGCAGATGTAACAATAACAAAAATAGACAAAAGGAACTTAATTAAACTAAAAATCTCCTAAAAATGCTTTTTAATTAACACAGTGAACAGAAAACCTATGGAACGAGATAATGTTTACAAGTTTTGCATGTGACAAAGATCTAACATCCAGAATATACAAAGAACTCAAACAGCTCAATAAAATAAAAATAAAACAAATAACCTTAAAAAGCAAGCAAAGAACATGAACATTTTTTAAAAAAAAGACAATGAGCAAGCAAAGAACATGAACATTTAAATAAAAAAAGACAACGATGGTCAACAAGCACGTAAAAGATGCTCAACGTTGTCAATGATCAGAGAAATGCCAATTAAAAACCACAATGAGATACCAACTTACACCATTCAGAATTGCTATTACTGAAAAGCAGAAAAATGAAATATTGGCAAGGATACAGAGAAAAGAGAACACTTAGACATTGCTTGTGGGAATGTAACTTTCTACAACCTCTATGGAAAACTGTATGGAGATTTCAAAAAAGACTAAAAGTAGAACTTCCATTTGATTCTGCAGTCCCACTACTTTGTATCTACCCAAAGGAAAATAATTTATTACACAAAGAAAATACCCACACTCATATGTTTATTGCAACACTATTCACAATAACCAATATATGAAATCAATTTAAATTTATCAGTCAATAATCGAATAAAGAAAGTGTGCTATACGTTTATACCATGGAATGCTACTCAGCCATGAAGAAGAATAACATCACGTCTTTTGCACAACATGAATAAAACCAGAGGCCATTATTGTAAGTGAAAAACCTCAGAAACAGAAAATCAAATTCTTCATTTTCTCACTTGTAAGTGTGAACTCAATTATGCATACACTTGGATACAGAGACTGGAAAAATAGACACTGGAGACTCAGAAAGTTGGGAGGTTGGCAGAGGGTTTAGGAATGAGAAAATAACTAATTGGGACAATAAAGAGCATTCAGATGATGTTGTCACACCAAAAGCCCATACTTCATCATTATGCAACATGCTTCTGTGAGGGAGCTGCATTTGTACTCTTTAACGTATTAATATAGAGAAAAAAAAGGCCTGGTGCAGTGGCTCAAGCCTATAATCCCAGCACTTTGGGAGGCTAATGCGGGCAGTTAACGTGGTCAGGAGTTGAAGACCAGCCTGGCCAATATAGTGAAACCCCGTCTCTACTAAAAATACAAAAATTAGCCTGGCATGGTGGAGCATAGTAGTCCCAGTTACTCGGGAGGTTGAAGCAGGAGAATCACTTGAACCCGGGAAGTGGAGGTTGTGGTGGGCCGAGATTGTGTCACTGCACTCCAGTCTGGGGAACAGAGGGAGACTCCGTCTCAAAAAAATAAGAGAGAAGAAAAAAACTTTGGCTTTTATCAAGAGGACAAACTGAGTAGACCTCATAATTTTCGTAAATAATTAGATTAGGCAAAAAAATTTTTAATAAAAATAAATAAAAAATATTCTATTTTAAGAATGGTATAGAAAGACAATTTGACGCATTAGAGTAGTTGGTACTTAGCACATACAATATGTTAGGCAAGGTTCTAAGCCCCTTAGACATTTATGGACAGAATATGTAACAGTACAATAAATAACACAAAGGTTCATCGGCAATGACAAATTGACATATTTTCAATCATATTAGATGATAGCTAAACCATTAACAAATTTACTGTTTTGTTTCATAATAAAAAACAAGGTTAAAAAGTTTGACTAATTAGGCATATGGATAAATGGGCAGCATTTTGACCAGTAGACAGAGGATACACATTTTCAAAGACCAGACAAAATTATTTATTTATTTTTGGGGAGAGAGAACAGTTTTATTAACTGAGGATACAGTGGAGTCTTCTCCCTGGGAGGTGAGATCTTCCACTGGTTACCCCCGCCAGGGCTTCCAGTGGGCGCCATGCGATTCAGCGCTGGACTCCGCTGGGGGCCGGGCCTTGGAGAAGGCGAACTGTGCAGGGAAGCAGCAGCTCTGGGGTCCTTACCGCCCGCTCCGCCCAGCTGCACCGGGTCTCCTGGTGCTCCTCAGGCTCCTGCCGAGTCTGCGTCTCTGGAGGGCAGCGAACCATCCTGCCCAGAACCTTATCCTGACAGCCCAGTTTGATGCAGGTCAGCCATTTCTGCTTCCTCCCCTCGGGCTGGACTTGGCACTTGGGTTTCTTCCAATCCTTTCTCCGGCCACTTCTCTGTCTGCCGGAGCTTAAATTTCAGCCTCACACATGTTCCAGCTGGGAAGGGCGTGTCCAGGGCGCCATCCACACTGGTTTTCTGGAAATCCTGCTGCACTGGCTGGTGCTTGTAGATTCCTCCAGGACCACCTGCAGGCCCCGGCGCTGGGCCCCTGAGCTCGGACCCGCCCCCCGCACTCCCGCGCCCACCCACGGGGCCAGCGAGATCCACAGCCCTCTCAGTCTTCCCCTTTCACCCCCGCCCTGCGAAGTGGGTGTGCACCCCTTAGTTCTCCGAGCCCGCCGGGAGCCACCTCCTCCCCTGCCCCTGGGGGTTCCATGCCCGCAGAACGCTGGGCAGAGGCGAATGAACCGGGAAATGTCCCTTTCTCCACACTGACCTTGGAGTCTGTTGGGTCCTCTCCACTCCCTCCCACCCTGCCCACGCTGTTCCCTGGGGCCCTCAGTTTCAGCAAAATTCCCTGCCGCGCCGGGAAGCTGTCCTGTTTCCCCCTCTCACCCTTCTTCCTTTTCTGGCCCACTCTCTCTCCCCACTGGGTCTCCGACACGACCCTCTCTCCTCCTGGCTGTCCTGGAGCCCCTCTTTGCTTCCCCAGCTCTGTCCCCTCTCTGACCGCTTCTCCCTCCCACCCCCGACCGAATCTCCTGGCTCCCACGGGGGGACCCAAATCCCCAGGACCCAGGTCAACCACACATAATTATTTTGAATGGGAAGACTTGAATTCATGAAAGAAGGAATCCATCTGGTTATACTTTAAATAATTTTGAAATGATAATAGCAACTATCAATTTAAAGTTTAACCAGAGTTCAGAATACCCACCATTTTACCACAAAGAAAAAAAAAACCTGTTATAACTAACCAATTCAGTAAATTTTCAGGATACAATATTAACATATGAACATCAGGTGCATGTTTTTACAGTAACAATAAAATATCTGAAAAAGGAATAAAGATAATTCCATTTACGATATTATCAAATAGAATGGAACACTTAGGAACAAAGTGTTGGAATGGAACACTTAGAAAAAAGAATATGAAAAATCAGCATACTGAAAACTATAAAATGTTGAGGAAAGAAAATGAAGAATACAAAATGGGAAATATATCCTGTATGCATGGATTCTAAAAATATTGTTAAAATATCCATAGTACACAAAGTGATCTACAGGGTTAAATAAATTTCTATCAAAATTTTAATGCCATTTTATTAAAAATGCAGAACAACTATTTTAAAATTAGTATGGAATCACAAAAGACCTCAAATAGCCAAATACTGAGAAGAACAAAAAGGCTGGAAGCCTCCCACTTCCTGATTTCAAACTGTATTACAAAACTATAGCCATCAAAATAGTATAGTACCTACATAAAAACCAATATAACAGAATAGGGGACCCAGAAATAAACTCACAAATATACAGTCAACCTATCCCACAGAATAGAGAAAGGATAAACACATCAAGGAGTGGTGTAGGAAAAACTAGATATGCAGAGACAAAAAGTACACCTTTCTCTCATACCATCACAAAATGAATTTGAAATGAAATAAAGACTTAAACATAAGAACTGAAATCATGAATCCTCTAAAAAAATGGGGAAAAACCTCCTTGACACTGGTCATGGCAATGATGCTTTGGATTTGGCAGCAGGAGCGCAGTCAACAAATGCAAAAATGAACAAGTGGAACTATGTCAAAGTAAAAAGTTTCTGCCCAATAAAGGAAACAATCAGCAAAATATAAAGGCATTATATGAAATGGGAGAAAACATTTCTAAACCATAGGTGGGATAATATGTTGCTATCCAAAACGTATATCATACTATTCAATACAAAAGAAGAACCCACAGCAGAATTAAAAGCAATTTCTTGATTAATAATTGGGTAAAATATATAAATAGCAATTTTTCCAAAGATATACAAATGGCCAATAGATATATAAAAAATGTTCAACATCACTAATTATCAGAGTAATTAAAATCAAAATCACAATGAGGTATCACCTTATCGTGGTGTTTGGATACCTATTATCAAAAAGTCAAAGGATAAAATCATTAGGGTGCAGAGAAAAGAGAACACTTGCACACTGTTGCTGAGGATGTCAAATGGTGCAGCTATTATGAAAAACAGCATGGAGGTTCCTTATAATTTTTAAACTAGAACTACCATTAATCCCAATTCGGAGTATATAGCCAAAGGAAATAAAGTCAGTATCGTCAAGGGTATCTGCACTCCTCTGATACAGATAAATAAATAAACTGAGAGGTATATAATTTCAGCTTTAATAAAAAATGAAACTTTCATTTACAAAAAATACTGATAAATTTTGAACATATTATGCTAAGAGAAAGCTTAAGCTGAATACAGAAGGACAATTACTGCATGATCTCGTTTGTATGTAAAATCTAGAAAAGCAAATAAAAATTAAAAAGTCATGGAAAGAGAGTAGAACGGTGGTCCCCATGGGCTAGTAAGAGGGAAAGTGGGGAGATATCCATGGAAGGGGTTCACTTTCAGTTATAAGGTGAGTAACTGCTGGGGACCTAATGTACACAATGGTGACTATAGTTAACAATACTGTGTACTTGAAATTTGTTGCAAAAGTAGATCTCAGGTTCTCTCAACACACACACAGAAATGTATTAACTATGTGAGGGGACACATATGGTAACTAGCTTAATTGAGATAATTTAAAGATGTATACACATCTCAAAACCCTCTTGTACACCCTAAAAATATACACTTTTCAATTTGTCAAACATAGCTCAATGAATGGAGAAAAAAATAGGAGAAAAAATATAAGAGTGACCAGCAGGTCATATCTAGCCACTTGGAAACTCGATTTAAAACACTCTTGGCTTCTTAATTTTTGTAAACCATTTATTAAATAGGCAATCCTTTCCCCATTGCTTGTTTTAGTCAGCTTTGTCAAAGATCAGATGGTTGTAGATATGTGACATTATTTCTGAGGGCTCTGTTCTGTTCCATGGGTCTATATCTCTGTTTTGGTACCAGTGTCATTCTGTTTTGGTTACTGTAGCCTTGTAGTATAGTTTGAAGTCAGGTAGTGTGTAATGCCTCCGGCTCTGTTCTTTTAGCTTAGGATTGACTTGGCGATGTAGGCTCTTTTTTGGTTCCATATAAAACTTAAAGTATTTTTTTTTTCCAATTCAGTGAAGAAAGTCATTGGTATCTTGATGAGGATGGCATTGAATGTATAAATGACCTTGGGTAGTATGTTCATTTTCACGATATTGATTCTTCCTACCCATGAACATGGAAAGTTCTTCCATTTGTTTGTATCTTATTTTATTTCATTGAGCAGCTGTTTGTAGTTCTCCTTGAAGAGGTCCTTCACATCCCTTGTAAGTCGAATTCCTAGGTATTTTATTCTCTTTGAAGCAATTGTGAATGGGGGTTCACTCATGATTTGGCTCACTGTTTGTTATTGGTGTATAAGAATACTTGTGATTTTTGCACATTGATTTTGTATCCTGAGGCTTTGCTGAAGTTGCTTATCAGCCTAAGGAGATTTTGGGCTGAGACAATGGGGTTTTCTAGATATACGATCATGTCATCTGCAAACAGGGACAATTTGACTTCCTCTTTTCCTAATAGAATATCTTTATTTCCTTCTCCTGCCTAATTGCCCTGGCCAGAACTTCCAACACTATATTGAATAGGAGTGGTGAGAGAGGGCATCCCTGTCTTGTGCCAGTTTTCAAAGGGAATGCTTCCAGTTTTTGTCCTTTCATTATGATATTGGCTGTGTGTTTGTCATAGATAGCTCGTATTATTTTGAGATACGTCCCATCAATACCTAATTTATTGAGAGTCTTTAGCATGAAGAGTTGTTGAATTTTGTCAAAGGCCTTTTCTGCATCTATTGAAATAATCATATGGTTTTTGTCTTTGGTTCTGTTTACATGCTGGATTACATTTATTGATTTGCGTATGTCGAACCAGCCTTGCATCCCAGGGATGAAGCCCACTTGATCATGGTGGATAAGTTTTTGATGTGCTGCTAGATTTGGTTTGCCAGTATTTTATTGAGGATTTTTGCATCAATGTTTATCAAGGATATTGGTCTAAAATTCTCTTTCTTGGTGGTGTCTCTGCCAGGCTTTGGTATCAGGATGATGCTGGCCTCATAAAATGAGTTAGGGAGGATTCCCTCTTTTTCTATTGATTGGAATAGTTTCAGAAGGAATGGTACCAGTTCCTCCTTGTACCTCTGCTAAAATTTGGCTGTGAATCCTTCTGGTCCTGGACTTTTTTTGGTTGGTAAGCTATTGATTATTGCCACAATTTCAGAGATTGTTATTGGTCTATTTGGAGATTCAACTTCTTCGTGGTTTAGTCTTGGGAGGTTGTATGTGTCGAGGAATTTATCCATTTCTTCTAGATTTTCTAGTTTATTTGCATAGAGGTGTTTTTAGTATTCTCTGATGGTAGTTTGTATTTCTGTGGGATCCGTGGCGATATCCCCTTTATCATTTTTTTATTGTGTCTATTTGATTCTTCTCTCTTTTCTTCTTTATTTGTCTCGCTAGTGGTCTATCAATTTTGTTGATCTTTTCAAAAAAACAGGTCCTGGATTCATTAATTTTTTGAAGGGTTTTTTGTGTCTCTATTTCCTTCAGTTCTGTTCCGATTTTAGTTATTTCTTGCCTTCTGCTAGCTTTTGAATGTGTTTGCTCTTGCTTTTCTAGTTCTTTTAATTGTGATGTTAGGGTGTCAATTTTGGATCTTTCCTGTTTTCTCTTGTGGGCATTTAGTGCTATAAATTTCCCTCTACACACTGCTTTGAATGTGTCCCAGATATTCTGGTATGCTGTGTCTTTGCTCTCATTGGTTTCAAAGAACATCTTTATTTCTGCCTTCGTTTTGTTATGTACCCAGTAGTCATTCAGGAGCAGGTTGTTCAGTTCCCATGTAGTTGAGCGGTTTTGAGTGAGTTTCTTAATCCTGAGTTTTAGTTTGATTGCACTGTGGTCTGAGAGACAGTTTGTTATAATTTCTGTTCTTTTACATTTGCTGAGGAGTGCTTTACTTCCAACTATGTGGTCAATACAAAAATTAATTCAAGATGGTTTAAAGACTTAAACCTTTCACCTAAAACCATAAAAACCCTAGAAGAAAACCTAGGCAATATCATCCAGGACATAGGCATGGGCAAAGACTTCATGTCTAAAACACCAAAAGCAATGGCAACAAAAGCCAAAATTGACAAAAGGGATCCAATTAAACTAAAGAGCTTCTGCACAGCAAAAGAAGCTACCATCAGGGTGAACAGGCAACCTACAAAATGGGAGAAAATTTTCACAACCTACTCATCTGACAAAGGGCTAATATCCAGAATCTACAATGAACTCAAACAAATTTACAAGAAAAAAAACAACCCCATCAAAAGTGGGTGAAGGATATGAACAGACACTTCTCAAAAGAAGACATTTATGCAGCCAAAAAGCCCATGAAAAAATGCTCATCATCACTGGCCATCAGAGAAATGCAAATCAAAACCACAATGAGATACCATCTCACACCAGTTACAATGGTGATCATTAAAAAGTCAGGAAACAACAGGTGCTGGAGAGGATGTGGAGAAATAGGAACACTTTTACACTGTTGGTGGGACTGTGAATTAGTTCAAACATTGTGGAAGTCAGTGTGGCGATTCCTCAGGGATCTAGAACTAGAAATACCATTTGACCCAGCCATCCCATTACTGGGTATATACCTAAAGGATAATAAATCATGCTGCTATAAAGACACATGCACACGTATGTTTATTGTGGCACTATTCACAATAGCAATGACTTGGAACCAACCCAAATGTCCAACAACGATAGACTGGATTAAGAAAATGTGGCACATAAGCACCGGGGTACACTATGCAGCCATAAAAAAGGTTGGGTTCATTTCCTTTGTAGGGACACAGATGAAACTGGAAACCATCATTCTCAGCAAAGTATTGCAAGGACAAAAAACCAAACACTGCATTTTCTCACGCATAGGTGGGAAATAAACAATGAGAACACATGGACACAGGAAGGGGGACATCACACTCCGGGGACTGTTGTGGGGTGGGGAGAGGAGGGAGGAATAGCATTAGGAGATATACCTCATGCTAAATGGCGAGTTAATGGGTGCAGCACACCAACATGGCACATGTATATATATATGTAACAAACCTGCACATTGTTCACATGTACCCTAAAACTTAAGGTATAATAATAATAAAATTTAAAAAAAAAAGAATTCCGGAAAAAAAAACACTCTTGGCCACTGTTTCCAGCTCAACTCGAGAACAGCCAGAGCGCTTCTGGCCCCTGAACTTCGACGCTCCTCCCCCGGCCCCAATGGCTGGCGAAGGTACAATCCTTCCCGGGATTCCAGGCCGCGAAGATAGGGCAGGGCCATCGCAGTCCCCTTGCTCTTTGCCGCAGCCCCGTTAGGCTTCGCGTTTCGTGGTGTCCAGGCCGCGGAGGCTGCCTGTGGCTGCCCGTGCGTCCCCGTGGCCTGTGGCTCCTCAATTCTGCGCTTCGGCCCCGCGCAGCCCCTTCGAGGCTGCAGCCGTCTTGCGCCCGAACTCAGGGCCCCGGGCCCGTTCCCCCCGCCAGCGCCTTCGCTTTTGCCGCCCCTCCCTCTCCCCGAACCCCAGCGGGCCCCCAGAGAAGGAGGGCGGAGAAGCTGGAAAGCGACTGCGGAGCTGCCGGCGGCAGGTGCGGGAAGGGGAGAAGCTGGCCTTGCACAGAAAGGCTGCTCAGAGCGACACGGACAACGGCCAGGAGCTCCTCACGCAGCTGGAAGAACTCAGTAACGTGCTCCACTGTGGGGGGAATGGAGATAATGAAAGTGTGATGTAGAAGTACTCACAGAGAACCATGATCCTTGGTCAATCTCAGATTATTATTGTCAGACCTACTCTAATGATGTTAGTCTTCCAAGTAAAGTGAGTGACTGAACTGTCAGATCAGCAAGATCAGGATATTGAAACTCCTGCTTTGAATTCTTAAGACCAATTACAAATGGAAAATGATGCTCACCCTTCTACTGATAAAACAGCAAATGTTGAATGTAGACAAGAGGGTCATTTGCCTCAAATTCACAGGAGCCAGCATCTGCATTAGCAGCACAAGATATATCCTTAGAAGGTCCGTCATTAGCTGGAAGTTTGAGAGCTACAGCAGAAGCGGCTTTATCACAGACTGGATTTAGTTATGATGAAAATGCTGGACTGTATTTTGACCACAGCACTGGTTCCTATTAAGATTCTGAGAATCAAATCTCAGATTATTATCAGACTTACTCTAATGATGTTAGTCTTCCAAATAAAGTGAGTGACTGAACTTTCAGATCAGCAAGTTCATGATATCGAAACTCCTTATCTTATCATATTCACCCTGACGTGATAGCTGTGTTGGATGTGAACCAGGGTAGGTTAGAGCTCACCTTTTCCTTGATAAGAAAGATGAATCATTTGTTGGTCCAACATTAACTAAGAAGGAAACGAGTTGGAAAGAAGAAAAGGATTTTTAAAATATATGAGTAAAATATGGTTTACAGAATACAGACTATGAAGATGATAAGATACTAGAGAATGTAAACTATAACGACAGAGCTGGAAAACATAGGGAGCAGATTGGAAGCGAAGGAAATTTCCAAAGAGATGATGCTCCTGCATCTGTTCATTCTGAAATTACTGATAGCGACAAAAGTCAGAAGATGTTGAAAAAGATGTGTTGAAAACAGGAGAAGGCCTGGGGAATGATGGTGGGAGAATAAAAACTCTGATACAGCTTCAGCTTCGGCAGACACATGCAGGATTGGAGACAGGCAAACCATCCTCAATTAAAGAGGCTCACCTTCTCCAAAACAACAAGAACAGAAACTAGGACAAAGCACAGGAGAGGTTTGCTGAAAACTTTCCAGAAACTAAACTTCCAAAAGATGACCTAGGAACCATTCCTTGGGTAAAAGAGACTGAGGAGTGAAGGTTAATCACAGAAGAAAACTCAAGCTTTTTTAAAAATAGAGTTTGGAAACTCTTATTTTATTGCAGAACGTTTCTCCTCAAAAAATTCAGTGGCACAAGAAAACTATGTCACAATTTACCCCTTCCTGATTCAGAAATGTGTAATAAAGTGTGGTTGGCAGCTTTTAAAAAAACACTTTTTAAACTAATTATTAGTGCCTGAATTAAGTTATACAGTAAGTGAACTAAAGTTCACAGGGCACAGATAAGTTTATCAAACTTTACTATTTTATCTTGTCATTTACAACATCCATATAAGCAATTAGCCATATAAGCAAAATTCATATAACCACTTAAATGTACATTTGTCCTTGTCTCCATATATTCATACTAAGATGCACAGAAAATACAGCAAAAGAAACATTGAAAGTCAATAAAAATAAATCTGACAATATACATTTTTTATGCCCTTCAGGACCTAGATACAAAAAATGTTGAGAAAACATGGATAGTGGTGCATACATTTTCTAATATGTGAATAGCCTAAATCACATGAAAGAACTAATGAACGGTGACATGTCATAGAAAATTCATCTTTTATTGTTTTCTTTGATGAAGAATCTGAATTTGTTGATATGTACTATACATTCAGCATTTGTATTTGGTTTGTTTCATAGCTAATGATATGTTTATACATGAACAAAGAGTACAGTGTTGAAATAGTCTGTGTGCTGACATTCATAGTTTTTAAAAATACCATTGCAGGCAATGAAGTTGTGCCAGAAAAATCTGATTTCTTGTACAAAAGGAATACTTAGCCAGGGCCTCAAGCTCAATATATTTATTAAAAATGTCCTACATTGCCATAAAAACATGATAACGTTAAATAATTTATTTCTATAAATTAAGAATTAAAAATAAAAATGATATCTTTTATGGATTAAGGAAGTGCTGATGAGACAGAATGGCGATTGAAGACAAAAATTCCAAATTCAGGTAAATAATTTTACTCATATTTGTTTTATTTTAGAGAAAACAATACTTTTGACCATATACTATTTATTGCAGTGGAGTATTTCAAAAATATATACACAATATATAATTAATTTTCTAATGGCATAAAAGTAATCACATTCTACAGATTATTACAATATGGTCTATTGATGAGAGGGGTGTTTCAAATGAAAAAACTTGGAATTTCTCATGAGATAGTGATAGATGCCATAGAAAATCTCTGTAAAGTATTTCACTCATATATGCAACTATGGATATTTCTGCTTTTCAGAAAAATAATTTACTTTAAATACTTAATGCAGACAATTAAAATCACCAAGAAGTTACAAGAATTCACAGAATGCCTAATATAGTTGAAATGAAATTAATAAAATTTCCCAGGACTGGAAGTAAATAAAGGTAATGAGCTGGAGAAGAAATCAACCTAACAGGCCAGGGCTCCACTCAGATGCGTCTGATCACAAGAATGTCAGGTCCATGTGGGTTGTTCCCTTCTGACAAGGCAAATGGAATAAACAAAGAGGAACTGCCTGCAGGCATTGGAATGTGGTGTCTCCCATATGTGATGATTAAATTATAGATTATGTTGCACACAAAGAGATGAGCTACTGGGGTGAAGCATCAGAAGAAATATGGCACATAAATCTCAGATATTGAATTTACATTTAAATGTTTAAGTCAATATAATGGAAAAACAAGAAACCAAAATAATGTAGAAAGAAACTACGAGCTTGTCAAGTTATCTTTGGAAAAGAGGCAAATGAAAAGTAAAGTATTGAAAGTGTTGTAAAACAATTTAATGTACAACATATAAGTTACATATTAAAATAGGCTGAGCCGAAAAGAGGACTAGTAAAGTGAAATGCTGATCACAATTAATGTAGTCATATATGTTATACAAGGCAAATTAATAGAAAATATAAATATATTTATATATGAAGGTTAGATTGAGAGGAAATAAAAGACATTCAATTGTTTTACTAGACTCTTTAAACAGGAAGGCAATAGTCAAAGAATCAGTGACTCGTAAGTTTCAGAAATTGGAAACCAGACATGAATCCTTTAAAAGTTTAGGGTGTAATATATGAAAAAAAGGTAAATTAAGAAATACTAAGAAGAAATAATGGTTTTGGTTATTATGAATACTGCTTAAAAAACATGAAAGTGCAGTTATCTTTTTGACTTGCTTGTTTTATTTCCTTTTGATATAAACCCAGTAATGAGATTGCTGCATCATATGGTAGTTTTATTTGTAATTAATTGAAAAACCTCCATGCTGTTCTCCCTATAGAAATGGGAAATGATTATAGTAATTTACATTCCTACCAACAGTGTATAAGGGCCCATCTACAGAATGAATAAAGAAAATGCTATACACACACGCACACTCACACGCACACACACACAGGAATAATGTTCAGTCATAAAACAGAATGAAGTTCCGTAATTTGTGTCAACATGGATGACTGTAGAGGACATTATGTTAAGTGGAATAAGCCAGTCACAGAAAGACAAAGACCACGTGCTCTCACTCATGTGACATCTGAAGAAGTCCATCTCATACAAGTAGGGAGTAGGATTGTGGTTAACATAGGTTATCGATGGCAGAAGGATGAGAGAGTGGGGAGAGCTTTGTCACTGGGTACAAAATTACAGTTAGGAAGAATAAATCCTGGTGTTCTATTACACAGTACGATGACTATAGCTAATAATAATGTACCGTTTATTCTATAATAGCTTGAACAGAGGATTTTGAACTTTATTAGACAAGGAAATAAATATTTAAATTTTTAAATATGCTAATCACTCTGGTTGGATCACTGTACAGTGTAAAAGGTACAATGTGATGCAGTGAAACGTGATATAATTAACACTTGATAATTATACATGTTTACGGAGTATAGTGTGGTGTTTCACTGCATCACGCTGTACCGTGTAATATGATGCAGTGAAACATAATGTAATTAACACATGAAAATTATACACGTTTATGGAGTACAATGTGATGTTTCACTGCATCTCACTGTACCGTGTAGTATGATGCATTGAAACATCACACTGTACCCCATAAATATTAATGGTTCAGCGAGGAACTCTGGGACACAGAGCAGCTCCGGGTTAGCCATGACCAGGAGCTTCACTTGTGTGAGGTAGCGAGAGGGGAATGCCCCTGTACTCAGCTGAGAGTTGGCCCCGACCCCATCCACTTTGACTGCTGGGTGCCAGCAGAAGTCAGGGACCACTAACTTCAGGCAGAGGCAGGAAGCAAGGTCATTGCATCTTTTTTCTTTTTTTCTTTTGAGAGAGTCTCACTCTATCACCCAGGCTGGAGTGCAGTGGCGCGATCTCGGCTCACTGCAACGTACTTAGAGGTGTACTTCAGAATCACACCTGCAGGAATCACACATAGAGGTTTACGTCAGAATCACATCTGCAGGAAGGTCCCTCGGTGAGATTAACAAGCCCACATAAGTGCCAGTTCTGGGTATGAGAGTCAAGGCCTCCTGTATGTTGCATCTATGTACATAAATCACAATCTCAACGGTGGAATGGATTTTTCCATGACAGCCTTAATGTCTTTTGAAAACTGAGTTATCTTACTGTAGTCACAGCCTCACAAGTGTTTTGGATCTTGGTCAGGGAGTCACATACTCACTTGTGGACAACATCCACTTATGAGAGCCAATTTTCCAACTTTTGACTGCCTCTGGGTGTGAGATTCAAAACCTGAATCATGGGCTGTGTTCATGTGGGAGAATGACAATTTTGACTGATGGCTGGGCTCAGGCAGGAGACTTTCATCCTGCAGGTGTTGAGATAAATGATATGTCACAATACACAAAATATGCTGGGTGCAGGCAAAAGAGGAGATTCATATTAGCTGGTTACTAGGTCCAGTTATATGTCACGTTTTTGGCAGGGCTAAGGCAGAAGAGGAGAGTCAGAGCTGAAGAAATGTCACAATGTCCCTGTGGGCAGGGCCTACGCATAAGAATTACATCATGTAGTCATCGAACCCAGCCATATATTACAATACACAATGTATACAGGACCAAGGCAAGAAAGGACAGTATATCACATAGGTACTGGGTCCAGCAATATGTCACAATACCACCTGAGGGGAGGCTCCAGGCAACAGGGTAACATTACCTAAGTGAAGTGCCCAGAGAGATGTTTCAATGCCCCTGGTGGGTAGGATTTTGAAAAAGGACAAGTTACAGAACCTAGGGGCTAGGCATAGCTATGAGCCACATTCGTCTCCAAGACGGAGCTCAGACATGAGAGAAAAGTTACATCTTGTAAGTACTGGGCAAAGTAATATGTCACAATCCTTATGTGAGCAGGCCCTAGGAAGAAGTAGAGAGTCACATAGTCTAGTTGATGGGCCCAGAGGTATTTGACAATGACTCCTGTAGGTAGGAACCAGGCAAAAGAATCACTTCACCTGTGTGCTGTGCCCAGTTACAAGTCACTCTTCCCTCTGTGGACATGACCCAGGCAGGGAGAAGAGTCACATCATCCGGGTGCTTGGCCCAAAGATATGTCACAATCTTTCATATGGGCAATGCTCAGGTAAGACAGGAGAGTCACATCAAATAGGTGAAGGACCCACAGGTATGTCACAAGGCCTTCTGTGAACTTGATCCAGGCAGAAGATTCACAGCAACTTGGTGCTAAGCCCAGCAACATGTCACAATCCCTTCTGTGTAAACGGACCAGGCAGGAGAAGAGAATCACATTACCTGGCTGATAAGTGCAGAGATATGTCACAATGCCCCTTGCAGGCAGGGCCCAGGCAGAGGAGTTACAACACCTGGGTAGTGGACCCAGCAATATACTGCAGTGTCCCATATGGGCAGTGCACAAGCAGGAGATTCACATAACCTGGGTCCAAGGCCAAGCTATATATAACGCTTCCTGTGGGCAGCGCCAAGGCAGAAGAGGAGACTCACATCACCTGGGTGCAAGGTCTAGCGATATGCCAAAATGCTTACTGTGGGCAGTGCCAAGGAAGGAGAATAGAGTTACACCCTCAATGTGCTGGATTCAGCAATATGTTAATACCCATATCTGTGGGCTGGGTCCATGCAAGAGCGTCAAGTCACTCAGGTGCTAGGCACTGGGAAATTTCACCATGAAATCTGCAGAATCGTCCAGGAGTAAGATTAACAATCCCACAACTCTCTCACTTGTAGGCATGACATTCAACACCTCCTGTATGTTGGGTCTAAGCCCACGAGTAACCATCTCAACACCAGACTGGATCTGTGCATGAAAGCCTCAATTCCTCTGCACACTGTGTCACCTTAGTGAAGTCACAGCCTCACAGTTGTGCTGAATCTTGGTCTGAGAGTCACCAACCCATGAGTATCCATATATAAGTCATTTCTTCCCACCTTTGACTGACTACAGGTGTGAGATTCAGAACCTCAACAGTGACCTGTGTTCATGTGAGAGGATGACAATATTTACTGTTGACTGGGTGTGCATATGAGTGCCACAATCTCACTTGTGTGCTCGGCCCAGTTAGCACTCTCTGTGTACTACCCAATGGTGCTATACAGTATGAATGAAAGTTGCAATCAACTTTGAGACCTTCCTGCTGGTAGGGACCCATGATCGTGTCTGTGGCATTAAACCCGGGTATGAGAGTCAACATCATTACAATTAACTATGTCAGGATAGGAGACTCCTCCCTTGTCTATAAGCTGGGCTTAGAAATGAGCCACCATTTCAACTCTGGTTGAATGTTTATATATTAACACTGGCCTAACACCGAGGTGATGTGAGTCTTTGGCCTAGACACTTCAAGCAGGAGGCAATGTGACATATCTCTGGGCCTAACAACTATTTGATGTGACCTGCTTTTTTACCTGAGCGTTTCCCATAAAAGAGACGTGACGTGACATATGTCTAGACCCAGCACCTAGGTGATGTGACTTTCCTTTTTTGACTGAGCCCTGTGTATTTTGGGTATTCTGATATATCACTGGACCTAACATCTGGAAGACAAGAAGATCCAGCATGGGCCCTGCCTAAAAGTTTCTTGTGACATATTTCTACGTTAATACCTTGGAGATGTGACTCTCCTCTCTTACCTGGGCTTTACCCATAAGAGAGATGGTTACATATCTCTGCAACAAGCACCTAAATGCCGTGACCCTTCTTTCTTGCCTGGGTCACGCCCACAGATGAAAGGGTGGCTAATCGCTGTTTCCAGCACACCAGTTATGGGATTATTCTGCCAGATCTCTGCTCACAGGAGTCATTGTGACATATCCCTGGGCCCAGAAACTATTTAATATGACTCTTCTCTATTACCTTAACTTCGTGTATAGGATAAATTGTGACATATTTCTGGGTCCAGCACCTAGGTGATGCAACTCTCCTTTTCTGCATGGACTATGCCCCCAGGAAGGAGGCTGATTTATTGCTGTGTTGACAGCTGATGTGATACCTCGGTTCTTGTCTTCTTAGTTTATAAGAATTTAAACAAGAGACACACAGAAAAGAAGTACAACATAATTTATTGGAGAAGAAAAAAAATGTTTGAAAGTTAAATGCAGAATACAGTACACCATGAGAGAGATATTCCAGGGCGGGCTGCTCATAAGAGTGAGACAGTGTGGATTGTCGCTGGAGAAACCCCCTTATGGGAGTTTTACGTTATTATTAATAAGAAAAGGGGAAGAGGAGCTGTTAGTAAGCCTGTTCTGAGTGGTCTATTGGGTGCACATGTGCGGTAGCTGTACATGCTTGTTCATATGTTGCATGTCTCATTAGCATCTTAGACCTGTAGCCAGGAGTGTATTTTTGTTTGTTTGCTTGAGACAGAGTTTCACTCTGTTGCCCAGGCTGGGGTGCGGTGGTGCAATCTCTCCTCACTGCAACCTCTGCCTCCCGAGTTCAAGCCATTCTCATGCCTCGGCCTCCTGAGTAGCTGGGATTACAGGCATGCACCACCAAACCCGGCTAATTTTTGTATTTTTAGTTGAGACGGGGTTTCACTATGTTGGCCAGTCTAGTCTTGAGCTTCTGGTTTCAAGTGATCCATACCCCTCAGCCTCCCAAAGTGCTGGTAGTACAGGTGTGAGCCACCATGCCCAGCTGGGGGGTGTATTTTTGCTATTAAAATAAGCAAAAGTTAAGTTTGAGGACAGGTAAAATCAAAATGCACGTGCTCTCTAGAACAGAAAGTCCTTAATGAAGATAACTTTGCTTGAATGAGCCCAATTACAATGCGAATGCTAAAGCTTATTGTTTTGGCTGTACAGTCGCCAGTTTCAATGAAGGGGAGGCCTGCCCTTCCACACCTGTGGGTGTTTCTCGTCAGGTGGAACTAGAGACTGAGAAAAGAAAGAGACACAGAGACAAAGTATAGACAAAGAAAATTGGGCTCAGGGGACCAGCGCTCAGCATGCGGAGGACCCGCGCGGGCACTGGTCTCTGAGTTCCCTCAGTATTTATTGATCATTATCTCTACCATCTTGGAGAGGGGGATATGGCAGGACAATAAGGTAATGGTGGAGAGAGGGTCAGCAGGAAAACATGTGAAGAAATGTCTCTGTGTCATAAACAAGGTTAGAAAATGCGCTGTGCCTTGATGTGCACGTATACAAACATCTGGGTGCATTAAAGAGCAGTATTGCCGCCAGCATGTCTCAACTCCAGCCCTGAGGTGGTTTTCTCCTATCTCAGTAAATAGAACATACAATCGGTTTTTACACCAAGACATTCCATTGCCCAGGGATGAGCAGGAGACAGATGGCTTCATCTTATCTCAACTGCAAAGAGGCCTTCCTCTTTTACTAATCCTCCTCAGCACAGACCCTTTATGGGTGTCGGGCTGGAGAATGGCCAAGTCTTTACCTTCCCAGGAGGCCATATCTGAGGCTATCACGTGGGGAGAAACATTGGACAATAACTGGTTTTCCTAGGCAGAGGTCCCTGTTGCCTTCCACAGTGTATTGTGTCCCTGGGTACTTGGGATTAGAGAGTGGTGATGAATTTTAACAAGCTTACTGCCTTCAAGCACTTTTTTAACAAAGCACATTCTGCATAGCGCTAAATTCATTAAATCGTGACTCAACACATCACAAGTCTCTGTGAGCACAGGGTTGGGGCTAGGGTTACAGATTAACAGCATCTCAAGGCAGAATAATTTTTCTTAGTGCAGAACAAAATGGAGTCTTTTATGTCTACTTCTTTCTACATAGACACAGTAACAGTCTGATCTCTCTTTTCCACACATTTCTGTATCCTGAGATCATGGTCATTTCCTTGACTATCTATTCTGCCTCAATTTCCCCCTAAGAGACCTTAGGGTCAAAATCATATTGGAGGTTGAGGGGCTAGGTCATTTTTTCTGGAGCTGTTTCCTGCTGAGTGGGTGTTATTTCTGCCTAGCCTGGGCCCTAAAATTTCTTCCTGTGTTATCTAACTGGGTGTAAACCATGTCATTCGTGGAGCCAGTGGGCAAGATGTTGGCAGCAAAGGTTGAAAGCCTTGCAAAACCATCATGCAAACATGGAGTTGCCGTAAGCAAGACAGCAAGAAATCAGTTAACATTTTAAACAAAATTGGAACAAAAGTAAAAGCTGAAAGTATAGTAATGACTGTTACTATTAAAGAGAGTAAGGCAGGTAACAGACATTGCTTTCATGTTCCCATGGAAGTTCCTAGAGATTCAATTTTGTCTGCCTGGGTGATGACATTATTAACATTTTCTTGGATTAAACCAGGCTGATTGATCTCAAAAACAGCATTCTTCTTTTAGATGTAAACATCCTCCTCTTTGCCTAGCTGGGAGAAGATCCCAGGCTCTTTGGTTTTGTCGGACTACAGTGGCCATGGAGTCCAGATGTTGTTGAAGTCTATTGAGGCCCTCTGCTGCTTGTTGCAGACCCATTGAGGCTTTCTGAGATAGTTTATACTGGATTCCCAAGGCTCCACCTTATGGTGACATTTGTGCTGCAAAAGTATTTTGCATTAACATTTTGAAAGCAACAAATGCTTTAAGTATTTTCTATTTTTTGCCAATAAGCAAAATTTTGTGCAGCTAAGTTGGCAGCAGTCATTCGGTTCGTTTATGGATGGTGCAGTTGAACGGTGGTCAAAGTTAGAGCCTGGAAGCCTTCAGTAAATGCGCTGAAGTTGTCTGAGGGCCATCAGAGTTGTTGCTTATATTGTATTAGATCATTTATTGAGAGTAGAACAAGCACACTGGTGGACCTCTCTCCATTTGGGACTTTCTGTACGGGGAGAAATTTCTCTGGCCCTGGATGGTGTGAAGTCTCACTGTAACTGCAGCTGGGCTGGTCTCTATTGTATCTGGCAAAGGCCGATAGAGAGGAGCATAAGGAGGAGGTTAAACAAGCTTAGATTCTACAGAAGACTCTGATAGTTTGGAGACGCTGGGGATTCTAAAGGAGGTGTGTGCCCCTGAGGGCCCCTATCTGGAGCTGGTGTTGGGCTGTGGGGTCTGAGGTCCCTTCCCCTTAATAAGAGATGATCTTCTAATGGTTCTGAGGGGCTTTCTGGCTTACTAGGCTTTAGCCCACAGGTGCTGCATAGAGCTGGGTTTTGTTGTCAGGCCAGAAAGTCTTGCACATAGGATACTTCAGACCATTTTCCCTGATTTCCACAGAAACCATCTAGCTGGAGGATGGAGTTAAAGTTCACAGTCTCATTCTCCAGCCATGTTTTGTCAGCTAATCTGTAGGCAGGGTAAATAGTGTTACAAAAGAAGATAAGGTTTTCTTTTTTCTAAGTTTATTTAACCAAAAGCTGTTCAAATTTTTAGATATACATCCCAGGGGTGTTTCAGTGACAGTAGAGGAAGTGGCTCCCACGGTGCCGAGAGAATCGTGCAACAACAGAACATTTACTGAAGACCAGAAGGCTGTGGGCATCCTCATGAGCCAAGTGGAACCACCATGGTGTCCAGCTCATCCCCTTGAAACCCCATTAACTGAAGCTCAAGGAGGTCATAGGCATTTGCTATACACCATCCTAGCTCTCACCAGTGGTAGACATCTCTAGCCCTACCAAGATGACCCCCACTGCTGGCTGGGGGGCAGATGTCTGGCTGACAAGGCTTGCCCAAATTCACTGGTTTGCCATTTGAGATGCCCGATTATAACACCTGGAATGCTCAGATGCAATCCCTATGACCGGGCATCTACATGACTGTGCATCTTTTGTTCAGTAAAGAAAGCCTGTTTGGGGAGGAGCCAAGATGGCTGAATAGGAACAGCTCCGGTCTACAACTCCCAGCGTGAGCGACACAGAAGACGGGTGATTTCTGCATTTCCATCTGAGGTACCGGGTTCATCCCACTAGGGAGTGCCAGACAGTGGGCTCAGGTCAATGGGTGCACACACCGTGCAAGAGCCGAAGCAGGGCAAGGCATTGCCTCACTCAGGAAGTGCAAGGGGTCAGGGAGTTCCCTTTCCTAGTCAAAGAAAGGGGTGACGGACGGCACCTGGAAAATCGGGTCACTCTCACCCGAATACTGCACTTTTCCGACGGGCTTAAAAAACGGTGCACCACGGGATTATATCCCGCACCTGGCTCGGAAGGTCCTACACCCACGGAGTCTCGCTGATTGCTAGCGCAGCAGTCTGAGATCAAACTGCAAGGCCGCAGCGAGGCTGGGGGAGGGGCACCCGCCATCGCCCAGGCTTGCTTAGGTAAACAAAGCAGCCTGAAAACTAGAACTGGGTGGAGCTCACCACAGCTCAAGGAGGCCTGCCTGCCTCTGTAGGCTCCACTTCTGGGGGCAGGGCACAGACAAACAAAAAGACAGCAGTAACTTCTGCAGACTTAAATGTCCCTGTCTGACAGCTTTGAAGAGAGCAGTGGTTCTCCCAGTATGCAACTGGAGATCTGAGAAGGGGCAGACTGCCTCCTCAAGTGGGTCCCTGACCCCTGACCACCGAGCAGCCTAACTGGGAGGCACCCCCTAACAGGGGCACACTGACACCTCACACGGCAGTGTACTCCAACAGACCTGCAGCTGAGGGTCCTCTCGGTTAGAATGAAAACTAACAAACAGAAAGGACATCCACACAAAAGCCCATCTGTACATCACCATCATCAAAGACCAAAAGGAGATAAAACCACAAAGATGGGGAAAAAACAGAACAGAAAAACTGGAAACTCTAAAAAGCAGAGTGCCACTCCTCCTCCAAAGGAACGCAGTTCCTCACCAGCAACGGAACAAAGCTGGATGGAGAATGACTTTGACGAGCTGAAAGAAGAAGGCTTCAGACGATCAAATTACTCTGAGCTATGGGAGTACATTCAAACCAAAGGCAAAGAAGTTGAAAACTTTGAAAAAAATTTAGAAGAATGTATAACTAGAATAACCAATACAGAGAAGTGCTTAAAGGAGCTCATGGAGCTGAAAACCAAGGCTTGAGAACTACGTGAAGAATGCAGAAGCCTCAGGAGCCGATGCGATCAACTGGAAGAAAGGTTATCAGCGATGGAAGATGAAATGAATGAAATGAAGCGAGAAGGGAAGTTTAGAGAAAAAAGAATAAAAAGAAATGAGCAAAGCCTCCAAGAAATAAGGGACTATGTGAAAAGACCAAATCTACGTCTGCTTGGTGTACCTGAAAGTGATGGGGAGAAAGGAACCAAGATGGAAAACACTCTGCAGGATATTATCCAGGAGAACTTCCCCAATCTAGCAAGGCAGGCCAACATTCAGATTCAGGAAATACAGAGAACGCCACAAAGATACTCCTTGAGAAGAGCAACTCCAAGACACATAATTGTCAGATTCACAAAAGTTGAAATGAAGGAAAAAATGTTAAGGGCAGCCAGACAGAAAGGTCGGGTTACCCTCAAAGGGAAGCCCATCAGATGAACAGCGGATCTCTCGGCAGAAACCCTACAAGCCAGAAGAGAGTGGGGGCCAATATTCAACATTCTTAAAGAAAAGAATTTTCAACCCAGAATTTCATATCCAGCCAAACTAAGCTTCATAAGTGAAGGAGAAATAAAATCCTTTACAGACAAGCAAATGCTGACAGATTTTGTCACCACCAGGCCTGCCTTAAAAGAGCTCCTGAAGGAAGCGCTAAACATGGAAAGGAACAACCGATACCAGCCACTGCAAAATCATGCCAAAATGTAAAGTTCATCGAGACTAGGAAGAAACTGCATCAACTAACGAGCAAAATAACCAGCTAACATCATCATGACAGGATCAAATTCACACATAACAATATTAACTTTAAATGTAAATGGACTAAATGCTCCAATTAAAAGACACAGACTGGCAAATTGGATAAAGAGTCAAGACCCATCAGTGTGCTGTATTCAGGAAACCCATCTCATGTGCAGAGACACACATAGGCTCAAAATAAAAGGATGGAGGAAGATCTACCAAGCAAATGGAAAACAAAAAAAGGCAGGGGTTGCAAACCTAGTCTCTGATAAAACAGACTTTAAACCAACAAAGATCAAAAGAGACAAAGAAGGGCATTACATAATGATAAAGGGATCAATTCAACAAGAAGAGCTAACTATCCTAAATATATATGCACCCCACACAGGAACACCCAGATTCATAAAGCAAGTCCTGAGTGACCTACAAAGAGACTTAGACTCCCACACATTAATAATGGGAGATTTTAACACCCCACTGTCAACATTAGACAGATCAACGAGACAGAGAGTCAACACCGATAACCAGGAATTGAACTCAGCTCTGCACCAAGCGGACCTAATAGACATCTACAGAACTCTCCACCCCAAATCAACAGAATATACATTTTTTTCAGCACCACACCACACCACACCTATTCCAGAATTGACCACATAGTTGGAAGTAAAGCTCTCCTCAGCAAATGTAAAAGAACAGAAATTATAACAAACTATCTCTCAGACCACAGTGCAATAAAACTAGAACTCAGGATTAAGAATCTAACTCAAAACTGCTCAACTACATAGAAACTGAACAATCTGCTCCTGAATGACTACTGGGTACATAATGAAATGAAGGCAGAAATAAAGATGTTCTTTGAAACCAACGAGAACAAAGACACAACATACCAGAATCTCTGGGACACATTCAAAGCAGTGTGTAGAGGGAAATTTATAGCACTAAATGCCCACAAGAAAAAGCAGGAAAGATCCAAAATTGACACCCTAACATCACAATTAAAAGAACTAGAAAAGCAAGAGCAAACACATTCAAAAGCTAGCAGAAGGCAAGAAATAACTAAAATCAGAGCAGAACTGAAGGAAATAGAGACACAAAAAAACCTTCAAAAAATTAATGAATCCAGGAGCTGGTTTTTTGAAAGGATCAACAAAATAGATAGACCACTAGCAAGACTAATAAAGAAAAAAAGAGAGAAGAATCAAATAGACACAATAAAAAATGATAAAGGGGATATCACCACCGATCCAACAGAAATACAAACTACCATCAGAGAATACTACAAACACCTCTACGCAAATAAACTAGAAAATCTAGAAGAAATGGATAAATTCCTTGACACATACACTCTCCCAAGACTAAACCAGGAAGAAGTTGAATCTCTGAATAGACCAATAACAATCTCTGAAATTGTGGCAATAACCAATAGGTTACCAACCAAAAAGAGTCCAGGAACAGATGGATTCACAGCCGAATTCTACCAGAGGTACAAGGAGGAACTGGTACCATTCCTTCTGAAACTATTCCAATCAATAGAAAAAGAGGGAATCCTCCCTAACTCATTTTATGAGGCCAGCATCATTCTGATACCAAAGCTGGGCAGAGACACAACCAAAAAAGAGAATTATAGACCAATATCCTTGATGAACATTGATGCAAAAATCCTCAATAAAATACTGGCAAACCGAATCCAGCAGCACATCAAAAAGCTTATCCACCATGATCAAGTGGGCTTCATCCCTGGGATGCAAGGCTGGTTCAATATACGCAAATCAATAAATGTAATCCAGCATATAAACAGAGCCAAAGACAAAAGTCACATGATTATCTCAATAGATGCAGAAAAGGCCTTTGACAAAATTCAGCAACACTTCATGCTAAAAACTCTCAATAAATTAAGTATTGCTGGGATGTATTTCAAAATAATAAGAGCTATCTATGACAAACCCACAGCCAATATCATACTGAATGGACAAAAACTGGAAGCATTCCCTTTGAAAACTGGCACAAGGTAGGGATGGCCTCTCTCACCACTCCTATTCAACTTACTGTTGGAAGTTCTGGCCAGGGCAATTAGGCAGGAGAAGGAAATAAAGGGTATTCAATTAGGAAAAGAGGAAGTCAAATTGTCCCTGTTTGCAGACGACATGATTGTATATCTAGAAAACCCCATTGTCTCAGCCCAAAATCTCCTTAAGCTGATAAGCAACTTCAGCAAAGTCTCAGGATACAAAATCAATGTACAAAAATCAAAAGCATTCTTACACACCAACAACAGACAAACAGAGAGCCAAATCATGAGTGAACTTCCATCCACAATTGCTTCAAAGAGAATAAAATACCTAGGAATCCAACTTATAAGGGATGTGAAGGACCTCTTCAAGGAGAACTACAAACCACTGCTCAAGGAAATAAAAGAGGATACAAACAAATGAAGAACATTTCATGCTCATGGGTAGGAAGAATCAATA
>NT_167220.1:0-15008 GCF_000001405.40 Homo sapiens
GATCTTTCTTTTGATAGAGCAGTTCTGAAAAACACTTTTTGTTGAATCTGCAAGTGGACATTTGGATAGATTTGAAGATTTCGTTGGAAACGGGAATATCTTCATATCAAATCTAGACAGAAGCATTCTCAGAAACGTCTTTGTGATGTTTGCATTCAACTCATAGAGTTGAACATTCCCTTTCAGAGAGCAGCTTTGAAGCACTCTTTTTGTAGTACGTGCAAGTGGATATTTGGAGTCCTCTGAGGCCTAAGGTGAAAAAGCAAATATCTTCCCATAACCACTAGACAGAAATATTGTCAGAAACTCCTTTATGACGTTTGCACTCACCTAACAGAGAAGAACCTTCCTTTTGACAGAGCAGTTTTGATACACTCTTTTTGTAGAATCTGCAAGTGGATATTTGGATAGCTGTGAAGATTTCGTTGGAAACGGGAATATCTTCCTGTAAAATCTAGACAGAAGCATTCTCAGAAACTGCTCTGTGATGTCTGTATTCAAGTCACAGAGTTGAACATTGCCTTTCATAGAGCAGGTTTGAAACGCTCTTTTTGTAGTATATGGAAGTGGATGTTTCGGACGGTTGGAGGCCCATGCTGATAAAGGGAATATCTTCCCCTACAAGCTAGAAAGAAGCATTCTGTGAAACTTGTTTGTGATGTGTGTACTCAACTAACAGAGTTGAACCTTTCTTTTCACAGAGCAGTTTTGAAACACTCTTTTTGTAGAATCTGCGAGGGGAAATTTGGATAGATTTCAGGATTTCGTTGGAAACGGGAATATCTTCATACAAAATCTCGACAGAAGCATTCTCAGAAACTTCTTTGTGATATGTGCATTCAAGTCACAGAGTTGAATATTCCCTTTCACAGAGTAGGTTTGAAACACTCTTTTTGTAGTATCTGGAAGTGGACATTTGGAGCACCTTGACGCCTACGGTGAAAAGGGAAATATCTTCCCATAAAAACTAGACAGAAGCAATCTCAGAATCTTCTTTGGGATATATGCACGCAGCTAACAGAGTTGAACCTTTCTATTGACAGAGCAGTTTTGAAACAGTCTTTCTGTGGAATCTGCAAGTGGATATTTGGATAGCTTGGAGGATTTCGTTGGAAACGGGATTACGTATAAAAAGTAGACAGCAGCATCCTCAGAAACTTCTTTGTGATGTGTGCATTCAAGTCACAGAGTTGAACATTCCCTTTCGTACAGCAGTTTTGAAACACTCTTTCTGTAGTATCTGGAAGTGAACATTAGGACAGCTTTCAGCTCTATGGTGAGAAAGGAAATATCTTCAAATAAAAACTAGACAGAAGCATTCTCATAAACTTGTTTGTGATGTGTGAACTCATCTAACAGAGGTGGATCTTTCTTTTGATAGAGCAGTTCTGAAAAACACTTTTTGTTGAATCTGCAAGTGGACATTTGGATAGATTTGAAGATTTCGTTGGAAACGGGAATATCTTCATATCAAATCTAGACAGAAGCATTCTCAGAAACGTCTTTGTGATGTTTGCATTCAACTCATAGAGTTGAACATTCCGTTTCAGAGACCAGCTTTGAAGCACTCTTTTTGTAGTATGTGCAAGTGGATATTTGGAGCGCTCTGAGGCCTACGGTGAAAAAGCAAATATCTTCCCATAACCACTAGACAGAAACATTCTCAGAAACTCCTTTATGACGTATGCACTCACCTAACAGAGAAGAACCTTCCTTTTGACAGAGCAGTTTTGATACACTCTTTTTGTAGAATCTGCAAGTGGATATTTGGATAGCTGTGAAGATTTCGTTGGAAACGGGAATATCTTCCTATAAAATCTAGACAGAAGCATTCTCAGAAACTGCTCTGTGATGTCTGTATTCAAGTCACAGAGTTGAACATTGCCTTTCATAGAGCAGGTTTGAAACGCTCTTTTTGTAGTATATGGAAGTGGATGTTTCGGACGGTTGGAGGCCCATGGTGATAAAGGGAATATCTTCCCCTACAAGCTAGAAAGAAGCATTCTGTGAAACTTGTTTGTGATGTGTGTACTCAACTAACAGAGTTGAACCTTTCTTTTCACAGAGCAGTTTTGAAACACTCTTTTTGTAGAATCTGCGAGGGGAAATTTGGATAGATTTCAGGATTTCGTTGGAAACGGGAATATCTTCATACAAAATCTCGACAGAAGCATTCTCAGAAACTTCTTTGTGATATGTGCATTCAAGTCACAGAGTTGAATATTCCCTTTCACAGAGTAGGTTTGAAACACTCTTTTTGTAGTATCTGGAAGTGGACATTTGGAGCGCCTTGACGCCTACGGTGAAAAGGGAAATATCTTCCCATAAAAACTAGACAGAAGCAATCTCAGAATCTTCTTTGGGATATATGCACGCAGCTAACAGAGTTGAACCTTTCTATTGACAGAGCAGTTTTGAAACAGTCTTTCTGTGGAATCTGCAAGTGGATATTTGGATAGCTTGGAGGATTTCGTTGGAAACGGGATTACGTATAAAAAGTAGAAAGCAGCATCCTCAGAAACTTCTTTGTGATGTGTGCATTCAAGTCACAGAGTTGAACATTCCCTTTCGTACAGCAGTTTTGAAACACTCTTTCTGTAGTATCTGGAAGTGAACATTAGGACAGCTTTCAGCTCTATGGTGAGAAAGGAAATATCTTCAAATAAAAACTAGACAGAAGCATTCTCATAAACTTGTTTGTGATGTGTGAACTCATCTAACAGAGGTGGATCTTTCTTTTGATAGAGCAGTTCTGAAAAACACTTTTTGTTGAATCTGCAAGTGGACATTTGGATAGATTTGAAGATTTCGTTGGAAACGGGAATATCTTCATATCAAATCTAGACAGAAGCATTCTCAGAAACTTCTTTGCGATGTTTGCATTCAACTCATAGAGTTGAACATTCCGTTTCAGAGAGCAGCTTTGAGGCACTCTTTTTGTAGTATGTGCAAGTGGATATTTGGAGCGCTCTGAGGAATACGGTGAAAAAGCAAATATCTTCCCATAACCACTAGACAGAAACATTCTCAGAAACTCCTTTATGACGTATGCACTCACCTAACAGAAAAGAACCTTCCTTTTGACAGAGCAGTTTTGATACACTCTTTTTGTAGAATCTGCAAGTGGATATTTGGATAGCTGTGAAGATTTCGTTGGAAACGGGAATATCTTCCTATAAAATCTAGACAGAAGCATTCTCAGAAACTGCTCTGTGATGTCTGCATTCAAGTCACAGAGTTGAACATTGCCTTTCATAGAGCAGGTTTGAAACGCTCTTTTTGTAGTATATGGAAGTGGATGTTTCGGACGGTTTGAGGCCCATGGTGATAAAGGGAATATCTTCCCCTACAAGCTAGAAAGAAGCATTCTGTGAAACTTGTTTGTGATGTGTGTACTCAACTAACAGAGTTGAACCTTTCTTTTTACAGAGCAGTTTTGAAACACTCTTTTTGTAGAATCTGCGAGGGGATATTTGGATACATTTCAGCATTTCGTTGGAAACGGGAATATCTTCATATAAAATCTCGACAGAAGCATTCTCAGAAACTTCCTTGTGATATGTGCATTCAAGTCACAGAGTTGAATATTCCCTTTCACAGAGTAGGTTTGAAACACTCTTTTTGTAGTATCTGGAAGTGGACATTTGGAGCGCCTTGACGCCCACGGTGAAAAGGGAAATATCTTCCCATAAAAACTAGACAGAAGCAATCTCAGAATCTTCTTTGGGATATATGCACGCAGCTAACAGAGTTGAACCTTTCTATTGACAGAGCAGTTTTGAAACAGTCTTTCTGTGGAATCTGCAAGTGGATATTTGGATAGCTTGGAGGATTTCGTTGGAAACGGGATTACGCATAAAAAGTAGACAGCAGCATCCTCCGAAACTTCTTTGTGATGTGTGCATTCAAGTCACAGAGTTGAACATTCCCTTTCGTACAGCAGTTTTGAAACACTCTTTCTGTAGTATCTGGAAGTGAACATTAGGACAGCGTTCAGCTCTATGGTGAGAAAGGAAATATCTTCAAATAAAAACTAGACAGAAGCATTCTCATAAACTTGTTTGTGATGTGTGAACTCAGCTAACAGAGGTGGATCTTTCTTTTGATAGAGCAGTTCTGAAAAACACTTTTTGTTGAATCTGCAAGTGGACATTTGGATAGATTTGAAGATTTCGTTGGAAACGGGAATATCTTCATATCAAATCTAGACAGAAGCATTCTCAGAAACGTCTTTGTGATGTTTGCATTCAACTCATAGAGTTGAACATTCCGTTTCAGAGACCAGCTTTGAAGCACTCTTTTTGTAGTATGTGCAAGTGGATATTTGGAGCGCTCTGAGGCCTACGGTGAAAAAGCAAATATCTTCCCATAACCACTAGACAGAAACATTCTCAGAAACTCCTTTATGACGTATGCACTCACCTAACAGAGAAGAACCTTCCTTTTGACAGAGCAGTTTTGATACACTCTTTTTGTAGAATCTGCAAGTGGATATTTGGATAGCTGTGAAGATTTCGTTGGAAACGGGAATATCTTCCTATAAAATCTAGACAGAAGCATTCTCAGAAACTGCTCTGTGATGTCTGTATTCAAGTCACAGAGTTGAACATTGCCTTTCATAGAGCAGGTTTGAAACGCTCTTTTTGTAGTATATGGAAGTGGATGTTTCGGACGGTTGGAGGCCCATGGTGATAAAGGGAATATCTTCCCCTACAAGCTAGAAAGAAGCATTCTGTGAAACTTGTTTGTGATGTGTGTACTCAAGTAACAGAGTTGAACCTTTCTTTTTACAGAGCAGTTTTGAAACACTCTTTTTGTAGAATCTGCGAGGGGAAACTTGGATACATTTCAGGATTTCGTTGGAAACGGGAATATCTTCATACAAAATCTCGACAGAAGCATTCTCAGAAACTTCTTTGTGATATGTGCATTCAAGTCACAGAGTTGAATATTCCCTTTCACAGAGTAGGTTTGAAACACTCTTTTTGTAGTATCTGGAAGTGGACATTTGGAGCGCCTTGACGCCTACGGTGAAAAGGGAAATATCTTCCCATAAAAACTAGACAGAAGCAATCTCAGAATCTTCTTTGGGATATATGCACGCAGCTAACAGAGTTGAACCTTTCTATTGACAGAGCAGTTTTGAAACAGTCTTTCTGTGGAATCTGCAAGTGGATATTTGGATAGCTTGGAGGATTTCGTTGGAAACGGGATTACGTATAAAAAGTAGACAGCAGCATCCTCAGAAACTTCTTTGTGATGTGTGCATTCAAGTCACAGAGTTGAACATTCCCTTTCGTACAGCAGTTTTGAAACACTCTTTCTGTAGTATCTGGAAGTGAACATTAGGACAGCTTTCAGCTCTATGGTGAGAAAGGAAATATCTTCAAATAAAAACTAGACAGAAGCATTCTCATAAACTTGTTTGTGATGTGTGAACTCAGCTAACAGAGGTGGATCTTTCTTTTGATAGAGCAGTTCTGAAAAACACTTTTTGTTGAATCTGCAAGTGGACATTTGGATAGATTTGAAGATTTCGTTGGAAACGGGAATATCTTCATATCAAATCTAGACAGAAGCATTCTCAGAAACGTCTTTGCGATGTTTGCATTCAACTCATAGAGTTGAACATTCCGTTTCAGAGAGCAGCTGTGAGGCACTCTTTTTGTAGTATGTGCAAGTGGATATTTGGAGCGCTCTGAGGCCTACGGTGAAAAAGCAAATATCTTCCCATAACCACTAGACAGAAACATTCTCAGAAACTCCTTTATGACGTATGCACTCACCTAACAGAAAAGAACCTTCCTTTTGACAGAGCAGTTTTGATACACTCTTTTTGTAGAATCTGCAAGTGGATATTTGGATAGCTGTGAAGATTTCGTTGGAAACGGGAATATCTTCCTATAAAATCTAGACAGAAGCATTCTCAGAAACTGCTCTGTGATGTCTGCATTCAAGTCACAGAGTTGAACATTGCCTTTCATAGAGCAGGTTTGAAACGCTCTTTTTGTAGTATATGGAAGTGGACTTTTCGGACGGTTTGAGGCCCATGGTGATAAAGGGAATATCTTCCCCTACAAGCTAGAAAGAAGCATTCTGTGAAACTTGTTTGTGATGTGTGTACTCAACTAACAGAGTTGAACCTTTCTTTTCACAGAGCAGTTTTGAAACACTCTTTTTGTAGAATCTGCGAGGGGAAATTTGGATAGATTTCAGGATTTCGTTGGAAACGGGAATATCTTCATACAAAATCTCGACAGAAGCATTCTCAGAAACTTCTTTGTGATATGTGCATTCAAGTCACAGAGTTGAATATTCCCTTTCACAGAGTAGGTTTGAAACACTCTTTTTGTAGTATCTGGAAGTGGACATTTGGAGCGCCTTGACGCCTACGGTGAAAAGGGAAATATCTTCCCATAAAAACTAGACAGAAGCAATCTCAGAATGTTCTTTGGGATATATGCACGCAGCTAACAGAGTTGAACCTTTCTATTGACAGAGCAGTTTTGAAACAGTCTTTCTGTGGAATCTGCAAGTGGATATTTGGATAGCTTGGAGGATTTCGTTGGAAACGGGATTACGTATAAAAAGTAGACAGCAGCATCCTCAGAAACTTCTTTGTGATGTGTGCATTCAAGTCACAGAGTTGAACATTCCCTTTCGTACAGCAGTTTTGAAACACTCTTTCTGTAGTATCTGGAAGTGAACATTAGGACAGCTTTCAGCTCTATGGTGAGAAAGGAAATATCTTCAAATAAAAACTAGACAGAAGCATTCTCATAAACTTGTTTGTGATGTGTGAACTCAGCTAACAGAGGTGGATCTTTCTTTTGATAGAGCAGTTCTGAAAAACACTTTTTGTTGAATCTGCAAGTGGACATTTGGATAGATTTGAAGATTTCGTTGGAAACGGGAATATCTTCATATCAAATCTAGACAGAAGCATTCTCAGAAACGTCTTTGTGATGTTTGCATTCAACTCATAGAGTTGAACATTCCGTTTCAGAGAGCAGCTTTGAGGCACTCTTTTTGTAGTATGTGCAAGTGGATATTTGGAGCGCTCTGAGGCCTACGGTGAAAAAGCAAATATCTTCCCATAACCACTACACAGAAACATTCTCAGAAACTCCTTTATGACGTATGCACTCACCTAACAGAAAAGAACCTTCCTTTTGACAGAGCAGTTTTGATACACTCTTTTTGTAGAATCTGCAAGTGGATATTTGGATAGCTGTGAAGATTTCGTTGGAAACGGGAATATCTTCCTATAAAATCTAGACAGAAGCATTCTCAGAAACTGCTCTGTGATGTCTGCATTCAAGTCACAGAGTTGAACATTGCCTTTCATAGAGCAGGTTTGAAACGCTCTTTTTGTAGTATATGGAAGTGGACTTTTCGGACGGTTTGAGGCCCATGGTGATAAAGGGAATATCTTCCCCTACAAGCTAGAAAGAAGCATTCTGTGAAACTTGTTTGTGATGTGTGTACTCAACTAACAGAGTTGAACCTTTCTTTTTACAGAGCAGTTTTGAAACACTCTTTTTGTAGAATCTGCGAGGGGATATTTGGATACATTTCAGCATTTCGTTGGAAACGGGAATATCTTCATATAAAATCTCGACAGAAGCATTCTCAGAAACTTCCTTGTGATATGTGCATTCAAGTCACAGAGTTGAATATTCCCTTTCACAGAGTAGGTTTGAAACACTCTTTTTGTAGTATCTGGAAGTGGACATTTGGAGCGCCTTGACGCCCACGGTGAAAAGGGAAATATCTTCCCATAAAAACTAGACAGAAGCAATCTCAGAATCTTCTTTGGGATATATGCACGCAGCTAACAGAGTTGAACCTTTCTATTGACAGAGCAGTTTTGAAACAGTCTTTCTGTGGAATCTGCAAGTGGATATTTGGATAGCTTGGAGGATTTCGTTGGAAACGGGATTACGCATAAAAAGTAGACAGCAGCATCCTCCGAAACTTCTTTGTGATGTGTGCATTCAAGTCACAGAGTTGAACATTCCCTTTCGTACAGCAGTTTTGAAACACTCTTTCTGTAGTATCTGGAAGTGAACATTAGGACAGCTTTCAGCTCTATGGTGAGAAAGGAAATATCTTCAAATAAAAACTAGACAGAAGCATTCTCATAAACTTGTTTGTGATGTGTGAACTCAGCTAACAGAGGTGGATCTTTCTTTTGATAGAGCAGTTCTGAAAAACACTTTTTGTTGAATCTGCAAGTGGACATTTGGATAGATTTGAAGATTTCGTTGGAAACGGGAATATCTTCATATCAAATCTAGACAGAAGCATTCTCAGAAACGTCTTTGTGATGTTTGCATTCAACTCATAGAGTTGAACATTCCGTTTCAGAGACCAGCTTTGAAGCACTCTTTTTGTAGTATGTGCAAGTGGATATTTGGAGCGCTCTGAGGCCTACGGTGAAAAAGCAAATATCTTCCCATAACCACTAGACAGAAACATTCTCAGAAACTCCTTTATGACGTATGCACTCACCTAACAGAAAAGAACCTTCCTTTTGACAGAGCAGTTTTGATACACTCTTTTTGTAGAATCTGCAAGTGGATATTTGGATAGCTGTGAAGATTTCGTTGGAAACGGGAATATCTTCCTATAAAATCTAGACAGAAGCATTCTCAGAAACTGCTCTGTGATGTCTGTATTCAAGTCACAGAGTTGAACATTGCCTTTCATAGAGCAGGTTTGAAACGCTCTTTTTGTAGTATATGGAAGTGGATGTTTCGGACTGTTGGAGGCCCATGGTGATAAAGGGAATATCTTCCCCTACAAGCTAGAAAGAAGCATTCTGTGAAACTTGTTTGTGATGTGTGTACTCAACTAACAGAGTTGAACCTTTCTTTTCACAGAGCAGTTTTGAAACACTCTTTTTGTAGAATCTGCGAGGGGAAATTTGGATAGATTTCAGGATTTCGTTGGAAACGGGAATATCTTCATACAAAATCTCGACAGAAGCATTCTCAGAAACTTCTTTGTGATATGTGCATTCAAGTCACAGAGTTGAATATTCCCTTTCACAGAGTAGGTTTGAAACACTCTTTTTGTAGTATCTGGAAGTGGACATTTGGAGCGCCTTGACGCCTACGGTGAAAAGGGAAATATCTTCCCATAAAAACTAGACAGAAGCAATCTCAGAATCTTCTTTGGGATATATGCACGCAGCTAACAGAGTTGAACCTTTCTATTGACAGAGCAGTTTTGAAACAGTCTTTCTGTGGAATCTGCAAGTGGATATTTGGATAGCTTGGAGGATTTCGTTGGAAACGGGATTACGTATAAAAAGTAGAAAGCAGCATCCTCAGAAACTTCTTTGTGATGTGTGCATTCAAGTCACAGAGTTGAACATTCCCTTTCGTACAGCAGTTTTGAAACACTCTTTCTGTAGTATCTGGAAGTGAACATTAGGACAGCTTTCAGCTCTATGGTGAGAAAGGAAATATCTTCAAATAAAAACTAGACAGAAGCATTCTCATAAACTTGTTTGTGATGTGTGAACTCATCTAACAGAGGTGGATCTTTCTTTTGATAGAGCAGTTCTGAAAAACACTTTTTGTTGAATCTGCAAGTGGACATTTGGATAGATTTGAAGATTTCGTTGGAAACGGGAATATCTTCATATCAAATCTAGACAGAAGCATTCTCAGAAACGTCTTTGCGATGTTTGCATTCAACTCATAGAGTTGAACATTCCGTTTCAGAGAGCAGCTTTGAGGCACTCTTTTTGTAGTATGTGCAAGTGGATATTTGGAGCGCTCTGAGGAATACGGTGAAAAAGCAAATATCTTCCCATAACCACTAGACAGAAACATTCTCAGAAACTCCTTTATGACGTATGCACTCACCTAACAGAAAAGAACCTTCCTTTTGACAGAGCAGTTTTGATACACTCTTTTTGTAGAATCTGCAAGTGGATATTTGGATAGCTGTGAAGATTTCGTTGGAAACGGGAATATCTTCCTATAAAATCTAGACAGAAGCATTCTCAGAAACTGCTCTGTGATGTCTGCATTCAAGTCACAGAGTTGAACATTGCCTTTCATAGAGCAGGTTTGAAACGCTCTTTTTGTAGTATATGGAAGTGGACTTTTCGGACGGTTTGAGGCCCATGGTGATAAAGGGAATATCTTCCCCTACAAGCTAGAAAGAAGCATTCTGTGAAACTTGTTTGTGATGTGTGTACTCAACTAACAGAGTTGAACCTTTCTTTTTACAGAGCAGTTTTGAAACACTCTTTTTGTAGAATCTGCGAGGGGATATTTGGATACATTTCAGCATTTCGTTGGAAACGGGAATATCTTCATATAAAATCTCGACAGAAGCATTCTCAGAAACTTCCTTGTGATATGTGCATTCAAGTCACAGAGTTGAATATTCCCTTTCACAGAGTAGGTTTGAAACACTCTTTTTGTAGTATCTGGAAGTGGACATTTGGAGCGCCTTGACGCCCACGGTGAAAAGGGAAATATCTTCCCATAAAAACTAGACAGAAGCAATCTCAGAATCTTCTTTGGGATATATGCACGCAGCTAACAGAGTTGAACCTTTCTATTGACAGAGCAGTTTTGAAACAGTCTTTCTGTGGAATCTGCAAGTGGATATTTGGATAGCTTGGAGGATTTCGTTGGAAACGGGATTACGCATAAAAAGTAGACAGCAGCATCCTCCGAAACTTCTTTGTGATGTGTGCATTCAAGTCACAGAGTTGAACATTCCCTTTCGTACAGCAGTTTTGAAACACTCTTTCTGTAGTATCTGGAAGTGAACATTAGGACAGCTTTCAGCTCTATGGTGAGAAAGGAAATATCTTCAAATAAAAACTAGACAGAAGCATTCTCATAAACTTGTTTGTGATGTGTGAACTCAGCTAACAGAGGTGGATCTTTCTTTTGATAGAGCAGTTCTGAAAAACACTTTTTGTTGAATCTGCAAGTGGACATTTGGATAGATTTGAAGATTTCGTTGGAAACGGGAATATCTTCATATCAAATCTAGACAGAAGCATTCTCAGAAACGTCTTTGTGATGTTTGCATTCAACTCATAGAGTTGAACATTCCGTTTCAGAGACCAGCTTTGAAGCACTCTTTTTGTAGTATGTGCAAGTGGATATTTGGAGCGCTCTGAGGCCTACGGTGAAAAAGCAAATATCTTCCCATAACCACTAGACAGAAACATTCTCAGAAACTCCTTTATGACGTATGCACTCACCTAACAGAAAAGAACCTTCCTTTTGACAGAGCAGTTTTGATACACTCTTTTTGTAGAATCTGCAAGTGGATATTTGGATAGCTGTGAAGATTTCGTTGGAAACGGGAATATCTTCCTATAAAATCTAGACAGAAGCATTCTCAGAAACTGCTCTGTGATGTCTGTATTCAAGTCACAGAGTTGAACATTGCCTTTCATAGAGCAGGTTTGAAACGCTCTTTTTGTAGTATATGGAAGTGGATGTTTCGGACTGTTGGAGGCCCATGGTGATAAAGGGAATATCTTCCCCTACAAGCTAGAAAGAAGCATTCTGTGAAACTTGTTTGTGATGTGTGTACTCAACTAACAGAGTTGAACCTTTCTTTTCACAGAGCAGTTTTGAAACACTCTTTTTGTAGAATCTGCGAGGGGAAATTTGGATAGATTTCAGGATTTCGTTGGAAACGGGAATATCTTCATACAAAATCTCGACAGAAGCATTCTCAGAAACTTCTTTGTGATATGTGCATTCAAGTCACAGAGTTGAATATTCCCTTTCACAGAGTAGGTTTGAAACACTCTTTTTGTAGTATCTGGAAGTGGACATTTGGAGCGCCTTGACGCCTACGGTGAAAAGGGAAATATCTTCCCATAAAAACTAGACAGAAGCAATCTCAGAATCTTCTTTGGGATATATGCACGCAGCTAACAGAGTTGAACCTTTCTATTGACAGAGCAGTTTTGAAACAGTCTTTCTGTGGAATCTGCAAGTGGATATTTGGATAGCTTGGAGGATTTCGTTGGAAACGGGATTACGTATAAAAAGTAGAAAGCAGCATCCTCAGAAACTTCTTTGTGATGTGTGCATTCAAGTCACAGAGTTGAACATTCCCTTTCGTACAGCAGTTTTGAAACACTCTTTCTGTAGTATCTGGAAGTGAACATTAGGACAGCTTTCAGCTCTATGGTGAGAAAGGAAATATCTTCAAATAAAAACTAGACAGAAGCATTCTCATAAACTTGTTTGTGATGTGTGAACTCATCTAACAGAGGTGGATCTTTCTTTTGATAGAGCAGTTCTGAAAAACACTTTTTGTTGAATCTGCAAGTGGACATTTGGATAGATTTGAAGATTTCGTTGGAAACGGGAATATCTTCATATCAAATCTAGACAGAAGCATTCTCAGAAACGTCTTTGTGATGTTTGCATTCAACTCATAGAGTTGAACATTCCGTTTCAGAGACCAGCTTTGAAGCACTCTTTTTGTAGTATGTGCAAGTGGATATTTGGAGCGCTCTGAGGCCTACGGTGAAAAAGCAAATATCTTCCCATAACCACTAGACAGAAACATTCTCAGAAACTCCTTTATGACGTATGCACTCACCTAACAGAGAAGAACCTTCCTTTTGACAGAGCAGTTTTGATACACTCTTTTTGTAGAATCTGCAAGTGGATATTTGGATAGCTGTGAAGATTTCGTTGGAAACGGGAATATCTTCCTATAAAATCTAGACAGAAGCATTCTCAGAAACTGCTCTGTGATGTCTGTATTCAAGTCACAGAGTTGAACATTGCCTTTCATAGAGCAGGTTTGAAACGCTCTTTTTGTAGTATATGGAAGTGGATGTTTCGGACGGTTGGAGGCCCATGGTGATAAAGGGAATATCTTCCTCTACAAGCTAGAAAGAAGCATTCTGTGAAACTTGTTTGTGATGTGTGTACTCAACTAACAGAGTTGAACGTTTCTTTTCACAGAGCAGTTTTGAAACACTCTTTTTGTAGAATCTGCGAGGGGAAATTTGGATAGATTTCAGGATTTCGTTGGAAACGGGAATATCTTCATACAAAATCTCGACAGAAGCATTCTCAGAAACTTCTTTGTGATATGTGCATTCAAGTCACAGAGTTGAATATTCCCTTTCACAGAGTAGGTTTGAAACACTCTTTTTGTAGTATCTGGAAGTGGACATTTGGAGCGCCTTGACGCCTACGGTGAAAAGGGAAATATCTTCCCATAAAAACTAGACAGAAGCAATCTCAGAATCTTCTTTGGGATATATGCACGCAGCTAACGGAGTTGAACCTTTCTATTGACAGAGCAGTTTTGAAACAGTCTTTCTGTGGAATCTGCAAGTGGATATTTGGATAGCTTGGAGGATTTCGTTGGAAACGGGATTACGTATAAAAAGTAGACAGCAGCATCCTCAGAAACTTCTTTGTGATGTGTGCATTCAAGTCACAGAGTTGAACATTCCCTTTCGTACAGCAGTTTTGAAACACTCTTTCTGTAGTATCTGGAAGTGAACATTAGGACAGCTTTCAGCTCTATGGTGAGAAAGGAAATATCTTCAAATAAAAACTAGACAGAAGCATTCTCATAAACTTGTTTGTGATGTGTGAACTCATCTAACAGAGGTGGATCTTTCTTTTGATAGAGCAGTTCTGAAAAACACTTTTTGTTGAATCTGCAAGTGGACATTTGGATAGATTTGAAGATTTCGTTGGAAACGGGAATATCTTCATATCAAATCTAGACAGAAGCATTCTCAGAAACGTCTTTGTGATGTTTGCATTCAACTCATAGAGTTGAACATTCCGTTTCAGAGACCAGCTTTGAAGCACTCTTTTTGTAGTATGTGCAAGTGGATATTTGGAGCGCTCTGAGGCCTACGGTGAAAAAGCAAATATCTTCCCATAACCACTAGACAGAAACATTCTCAGAAACTCCTTTATGACGTATGCACTCACCTAACAGAGAAGAACCTTCCTTTTGACAGAGCAGTTTTGATACACTCTTTTTGTAGAATCTGCAAGTGGATATTTGGATAGCTGTGAAGATTTCGTTGGAAACGGGAATATCTTCCTATAAAATCTAGACAGAAGCATTCTCAGAAACTGCTCTGTGATGTCTGTATTCAAGTCACAGAGTTGAACATTGCCTTTCATAGAGCAGGTTTGAAACGCTCTTTGTGTAGTATATGGAAGTGGATGTTTCGGACGGTTGGAGGCCCATGGTGATAAAGGGAATATCTTCCCCTACAAGCTAGAAAGAAGCATTCTGTGAAACTTGTTTGTGATGTGTGTACTCAACTAACAGAGTTGAACCTTTCTTTTTACAGAGCAGTTTTGAAACACTCTTTTTGTAGAATCTGCGAGGGGAAATTTGGATAGATTTCAGGATTTCGTTGGAAACGGGAATATCTTCATACAAAATCTCGACAGAAGCATTCTCAGAAACTTCTTTGTGATATGTGCATTCAAGTCACAGAGTTGAATATTCCCTTTCACAGAGTAGGTTTGAAACACTCTTTTTGTAGTATCTGGAAGTGGACATTTGGAGCGCCTTGACGCCTACGGTGAAAAGGGAAATATCTTCCCATAAAAACTAGACAGAAGCAATCTCAGAATCTTCTTTGGGATATATGCACGCAGCTAACAGAGTTGAACCTTTCTATTGACAGAGCAGTTTTGAAACAGTCTTTCTGTGGAATCTGCAAGTGGATATTTGGATAGCTTGGAGGATTTCGTTGGAAACGGGATTACGTATAAAAAGTAGACAGCAGCATCCTCAGAAACTTCTTTGTGATGTGTGCATTCAAGTCACAGAGTTGAACATTCCCTTTCGTACAGCAGTTTTGAAACACTCTTTCTGTAGTATCTGGAAGTGAACATTAGGACAGCTTTCAGCTCTATGGTGAGAAAGGAAATATCTTCAAATAAAAACTAGACAGAAGCATTCTCATAAACTTGTTTGTGATGTGTGAACTCAGCTAACAGAGGTGGATC
>NT_187500.1:0-41891 GCF_000001405.40 Homo sapiens
GATCTTTATAAGAGAATGAGGTAGGAGAGTCAGAATTAGAGAAAGTGATGTGGTAATGGAAGAAGAGGTCAGAGAGGGAGATTTGAAGATGCTGCACTTCTGGCCTTGAATATGGAGTCACGAGGTAAGTCAAGGAATGGAGGTGGCTTCTAGAAGCTGGAAAAGGCAAAGGAGCACATTCTGTCTAGAGCCTCCCCCAGAAGGAATGCAGCCTCTCTGACACCTTGACTTTAGCCTTGATAGACCTAGTTGGGCTTCTGGCCCCCAGAACTGTAAGATGGTAGATTTGTGGTGTTTGATGCCACTAAATGTAGGGTACTTTGTTGTAGCAACAACAAAAAATGAACATGAAGCTGGGACCTCATGTTACAGTTGCTCACGCCTGTAATCCCAGAACTTTAGGAGGCTGAGGTGGGAGGATCGCTTAAGCCCAGGAGCTTAAGACCAGCCTGGGCAACATAATGAGACCTCATGTCTAAAAAAAAATGTTTTTAAAGGCCAGGCGCAGTGGCTCACGCCTGTAATCCCAGCACTTTGGGAGGCCGAGGAGGGTGGATCACGAGGTCAGAAGTTCAAGACCAGCCTAGCCAAGATGGTGAAACCCCATCTCTACTAAAAATACAAACATTAGCCAGGTGTGGTGGTGGGTGCCTGTAATCCCAGCTACTTGGGAGGCAGAGAATCACTTGAACCCAAAAGGCAGACATTGCAGTGAGCCAAGATCGCACCCTTACACTTCAGCCTGGGCGACCGAGACTCCGTCTCAAAAAAAAAAAAGCCATGTGTTGTGGCATGCAGCTGTAGTCTCAGTTCCTAGGGTGGCTGAGGCGGGAGGATTGTTTAAGCCTGGGAGGTTGAAGTTGCTGTGAGCTGTGATTGCACCAGTGTACTCCAGCCTGGGCAATAAAGCAAGACCTTGTTTCAAAAAGAAAGAAATGAGCATGGTGGGAATGGGGACGGATGGCAGTGTTAAGTAGAGTGGTCAGGGTTGGCCTCATAAGTGAATATTGAGCAAAAGTTTGAAGCAGGTGATGGAGCTGGCCAAGGTGCTGAGGGAAGAGCATTGTAGGCTGAGTCAACAGGATAAAGGCATTAGGAGGAAACTCTCTGGTGTGTCTGAGGCTCTGGAAGGAGGCCAGTGGAGCAAAGAGATAGAGGGAGCGAAGTCAGCGAGGAGGCCAGGGAGTTGCTGGGCTGGGGTCGGTACAGATCGTGTAAGCCCTGGGACGCTATTGCTGGGGCTTTGGCTTTTACTCTGACTAAAATGGGAACCACCAAGGGCTTCTGAGCAGAGAGGCGACATGATCCGTCTCCTGATTTAAAAGCACGACCTGGCTGCCGAGTTGAGAAAGACTATGGGAAGATTTGGGTAGAAGCATGGGGGCCAAGCTGTGGCAACATCCCGGTGGGAGATGATAGTGATCCTGACGGGGTTCATGGTGGTGGTGAGAGATGGTTAGAGCCTGGATACATATTGAAGTCAGTCAGTAGGATTTCCTGACAGACTGGATGTGAGCTGTGAGAGAAGGCAGTGGTCAAGGTTGAGTTTGATTCTGATTGAATTATTAAGTAATTTTAAAAAACACTACTGCTTTTCCCAATCCTACCAAGTAAAGGATGCTAGATAAAAGAAATCCCAAGTCAGGCCAGGTACAGTGGCTCACACCTATAGTTCCAACAGTTTGAGAGGCAGAGATGGGAGTATGTTTTAAGGCCATGAGTTTGAGAGCAGCCTGGGCAACACAGCAAGACCTCCTCTCTACAAAAATAAAAAAAATAAATTTAATAAAATAAAATAAATATAGCCAGGCATGATGGTATGTACCTATGGCCCCAGTTACTCATGTGGCTGAGATGGGCAGATCTCTTGATTCTAGGAGTTTGAGGCCAGCTTGGGCAACATAGCAAGTCTTCTCTCTCTACAAAAATGAAAAAAATGCCTGACATGGTGGTACTTGCCTGTATTCCCAGGTATGGGGGCAGCTGAGGCTGGAGCATCTCTTGAGCCCAGTTGGTCAAGGTTGCAGTGAGCTATGATTATACCACTGCACTCCATCCTGGGTGACAGAGTGGGACCCTGTCTCAAAATACAAATACAAATGAAATCTCAAGTCAGACCAGTCCCTTCTAGGCTATGTAGGCCTTGTAACCACATAGCTGCATGATCGGGTTTGTGTGGCTGTGGATGAGGAGACCCCTGTCCAATTGTTGGCTATGTAATCAGTTTATTTTTCAATATAGTAATCAAATATATTTCATCATACTTGATGGTCTCAGATATGTGTGGATTTTGGAATTCCCCTTGGAACAGGTTGTAACATCTTATTGGCTCCATAATTCCATAATTTTTTTAATCTGATCAGTTTTTAATAAGATCGCAATTTATATTAGACTACTTAATCGGTTTTGTTAATGACAAAATGAAATTGTGTTGTTTGCATTTTATCCAAGATGGGTGTCATATTGGGTAAATCTCATCAATACTTGAACAAATGCAAAATTAGAGCTTCTTTATCATGAAACACGATGTAATTCTTGAAGAAGATGCCATTTCTTTTTTTTCTTTTTTTTTTTAAGATAAGAGTCTTTCTCTTGTCACCCAGGCTGGAGTGCAATGGTGCGATTTTGGCTCACTGCAACCTTCACCTTCTGGGTCCAAGCAATTCTCCTGCCTCAGCCTCCCGAGTAGCTGGGATTACAGGTGCCCGCCACCATACCCAGCTAATTTTTGTATTTTTAGTAGAGATGGGATTTCACCATATTGGCCAGGCTCCTCTGGAGCTCCTGACCTCAGGCAATCTGCCTGCCTCAGCCTCCCAAAATTCAAGGAGTACAGATGTGAACAACCACGCCCGGCCTCCATTTCTTTTTTGTAGTCTTTAATAAACAGCTGCTATCATTGCAGACTTGCTGTTTAGGCACTTAGGAATTTTTCACTAGAAGGCATGTAAATAAAGACCATGGGCAATTGTAATGAATTTCGCCTTCATTCTTTGACTACATGACTGTCCCCAGAGCTGTAACTTTATTGAATTTTTTAGAAGCCATTTAGCTAGCAACTGAGCCTAACCAGCCACTCACCGTCATTATTCAGTGCTCTTTTATTATTGTCTATTTCTCCTCCAACTTGGCTACACTCACAAAGTGATAAAAACTTGCATTTGTTTTCTTTCCTTTTCAGAGACAGCGTCTTGCTCTGTTGCTTAGGCTACAGTACAGTGACATGATCATGGTTCACTGTAGCCTCAAACTCCTGGGCTCAAGTGGTTCTCTCACTTCAGTCTCCCAAGTAGCTGGGACTACAGACATGTGCCACCATGTCCAGCTAATTTTTTATCATAGAGACGGGATCTTGCCATGTTGCTCCGACTGGGCTCAAAACTCCTGACCTCAAGTGATCCTCCTGCCTCAGCCTCCCAAAGTGCTGGGATTACAGGCAGGCATGACCACCTGTGCCCAGCCCCCTATTATTATTATTTTAAATAATAGCTTTATTAAAATATTCAAATGCCATTCACTTTATTTATTGAAATCTGCAATTCAGTAGGTTTTAGAATATTCACAGAGCTGTGCATCGATCACCACAGTCACTTTTAGAACCTTTCATTACCCTATAGAGAAATCCATACCCCTTAGCTACTACCTCCTACTCTCCCCACCTACCTTTGCCCCCAGCCTTAGGCAACCATTGATTAATTTTTTGTCACTATAGATTTGCCTAATCTGGACAAATAGAATTGTACAATATGTGATCTTTTGTGGCTTTTTTTCCCTCTTAGCACAGTGTTTTCAAAGTTCCTTTATGTCATAGTGTGTATCAATATTTCATTCCTTCTATGGCAGTATTCCATGGTAGAGACACACTGCATTTTGTTTATCTGTTCATCAGTTGGTGGATATTTGGGTTGTTTCCATGTATTCCATGTATTGGTCGTTATGAATAATGCTGCTATGAAGATTGTTGTACAAGTTTTTGTGTGGACATATATTTTTATTTTTCTGGGATATATGCCTAGGAGTGAAATTGTTGCATTATAGGATGACTGTACATTTAGCCTTTTGAGAAACTGCCAGACTGTTTTCTAACGTGGCTATACCAGTTGGGTGCAATGGCTCACACCTGTAATCCCAGCTACTCAGGAGGCTCAGCTAGGAGGATGGCTTGAGCCTGTGAATTCAAGACCAGCCTGGGCAAGATAGTGAAACCCCGTCTTGATTTTTTAAAAATCCAATTAAAATGACAAGAAAAGAAATACCCAAACAAAATGGTTACACAATTTTATGTTCCCACCAGTAATGTATGTGGGTTCCAATTCCTCCACATCTTCACTGACATTTTTTTTTTCTAGATAGGGGCTTGCTCTGTCTCTCAGGCCGCAGTGCAATGATGCCATCACAGTTCACTGCAGCCGTGACCTCCCAGGCACAAGTGATTCTCTCATCTCAGCCTCCTGGGTAGCTGAAAATTACAGGTGTACGCCACCATGCCTGGCTAATTTTTAGATTTTTCTGTAGTGGTGGGATTTTACCATGTTGCCCAGGCTGGTCTCATACTCCTGGCCTCAAGTGATCTGCCCACCTCAGCCTCCCTAAGTTCTGGAATTACAGGCTGCCACCATGCCCGGCCTTCACCAACATTTGCCATTATCTGTTTTTTTTTTCTTCCTTTATACCTTAAAGCAGTATAAGAACAAGTGTCTTCAATTATAGGAAACAGTATAATCCCAGGGCTTTGGGAGGCTAAGACAGGAAGATGTCTTGATGCCAGGAGTTTTTTTTGTTGTTGTTGTTTTTGTTTTTGTTATTGTTGTTGTTGTTTTTGACAGTCTCGCTCTGTCACCCAGGGTGGAGTGCAGTGATGGGGTCCACTGCAACCTCCACCTCCCAGGTTCAAGTGATTCTCCTGCCTCAGCCTCCCGAGTAGGTGAGACTACAGGTACACGCCACTACTGCCCAGCTAATTTTTGTATTTTTGATAGAGTCAGAGTTTCACCGTGTTGGCCAGGCTGGTCTCGAACTCCAGACTTCAGGTGATTTGCCTGCCTTAGCTTCCCAAAGTGCTGCGATTACAAGCATGAGCCACCATGCCCAGCCTGATGCCAGGAGTTTTAGACTAGCCTGGGCAACCTAGCAAGACCTTGTCTCTACAGAATATTTAAAAATTAGCCAAATGTGGTGGTGCCTGTGTATAGTCTCTCTCCCTCTCTTTTTTTTTTTTCTAACTTTTTGTGACATGGTCTGGCTCTGTCACCCAGGCTGAAGTGCAGTGGTGTGATCATGGCTCACTGCAGCCTGAAACTCCTGGGATCAAGTGATCAATCCTCCCACCTCATCCTACCAAGTAGTAGGGACCACAGGTGTATGCCACCCAGGTCTTGCTATGTTGTCCAGGCTGGTCTTGAGCTCCTGGCCTCAAGCAATCCTCTCACCTTGGCCCCCCACAGTGCAAGGATTACAGGTATGAGCCACCATGCCTGGCCCCTACCCTGCCTACTGAGAACCAAAGGAAGGATCCAAATTCTCCTTAGCTCAACTCGAGCCATTTCCTGATTGCTTCATCAGCGAGGAGCTGGTTATTGGGCTGTCCAGGCCTCCCAAGCAGCACAGAAATGAGGTGAAGGAGTTTTCCTGTTGCTCCACTCTGTAAGGAGTTGGAGGGTGATGTTTACTCATTTGCAGAGAGAGATGCCTTGTAGGCACCTCAGCATGGAGAGGGCCCTGATTCCAATGTCCTTTTTTTCTTCAGAAACAGGACCTTGCCCTGTCACTCAGGATGGAGTTCAGTGGTCCTATCATGGCTCATTATAGCCTCAAACTCCCAGGCTCAAGCAATCCTACCATGTCAGCCTTCCCAGTAGCTGGAACTACAGGTAAGCATCGTGACACTCAGTGAATTTTGTTTTTATTTTGTTGTAGAGATGGGACCTCAGTATGTTGCCATGGCTGACCTTGAACTCCTGCACTCAAGGGATTTTCCTACCCTGGCCTCCCAAAGTATTGGTATTACAGGCATGAGCCATTGTGCCCACCGTCTCTGGTTCTTAACCTTCTGCCTCCCTCTTCCAGTTTTAAAGAATGCTTGTAATTACATGGGCTCTCCTAGATACTCCAGGATAATCTTGTTTTAAGGTCAGCTGATGAGCAACATTAATTTTATCTGCACTCTTAATTCCCCCTTCCTATGTAATTGTGCTGTGTAACATAGGACATGAGCAATTGGTGGCGGTGGGGGTTATTACTTTGGCCACCACAGTAACTATTTTATGCCAGGTACTCAGCTAAGCACTGGTGAATTAAGCATGAATAACACACACTCCTTAATCTCCATCCATTCATGGGAGGAGCACTTCACCTGCCATGCTCCTGAGAATCTCGGGAGTCATAGAAGTCTTCTATGAGGAGGTGATGCCAAAGCGGACAAGTGACAGAGGAGTCAAAGCTAGCTAGGAAGAGAGTAGAGGTTTAAGGGGAAGCATATTATAAGCAGAGGATATTACCCACTTCAGAGACTCCCAGAGGAGAAAGAGTGTGCGTTCAAGGGGCAGATGAGGCTCAGTTGGACTCCATAGCAGATGTAATGGAGAGGGGCAAGCAGTGAGGCTGCCTTGCAAGGCAGGGCAGAGCAGGGGCTGTTAAGGAGTTTGGACTTAATCCCTGAGGCAAGGAGAAGTGATGTAAATGGGGGAGTAACATGATGAGATTCATAGATTAGAGACATGGCTCAGGCTGCTGTAGAGAAGGCACCAGGAAGAGCAGATGGCTCAATGTGTGTGCAGAAGACCTCTCCCTGAGTTTAGGGAGAGGTTTTTAAAACAGAAGAAGTTTGAGTAATTTAAATGATGATGGGAAGGAGCTAAAAGTGGGGGATAGGTTAAAGATACAGGAAAGTGGGAGGAAGAACTGACAAGTGAGGTTCCAGAGAGGGCAGGAGAAGAGGAGATTCCCATAGGGGGATTAACACTTTCTTTTCTTTTTTCTTTCTAAGACAGGGTCTCACTCTGTCACCCAGGCTGGAGTGCAGTGGCACAATCTTGGCTCACTGTAGTGTAGACTTCCCAGGCTCAAGGGATTTCTCCCACCCCAGACTCCCAAGTAGCTGGAACTACGGGTGTGCACCACCACCACACCTGGCTAATGTCTCTTTTTTTTGGTAGACACAGAGTCTCACTATTTAGCACTGATTGGTCTCCAACTCCTGGCCTCAAGCGATCCTCCTGCCTAGGCTTCCCAAATTGCTGGGATTACAGGCATGAGCCACAATGCCTGGCCTCTGCTAGTTCCGTATTCTCTAGAGTTGTCTTTACTTTGTGCTAGTGTGTCCCTCATTGTGCTGATCCTCTGTAAAAATTAATACCTTTTTTTTTTTTTTTGAGATGGAGTTTCACTCTTGTTGCCCAGGCTGGAGTGCAATGGTGCTATCTCGGCTCAGCGCAACCTCCACCTTCTGGGTTCAAGCAATTCTCCTGCCTCAGCCTCCCGAGTAGTTGGGATTACAGGCATGTGCCACCATGCCCAGCTAATTTTGTATTTTTAGTAGATATGGGGTTTCTCTGTGCTGGTCAGGCTGGTCTCGAACTCCTGACCTCAGGTGATCTGTCTGCCTTGGCCTCCCAAAGTGCTGGGATTACAGGCATGAGCCATTTTGCCTGGCCAAAATTAATACTTTTTATATTAAATTTACATATATATATATGTTTTTTCTTTTTGATACTGGGTCTCACACTGTCACCCAGGCTGGAGTACAGTGGCACAACCTCTGCTCACTGCAGCCTCCACCTGCCAGGCTCAAGCAATTCTCCTGCCTCAGCCTCCCGAGTAGCTGGGATTACAGGTAAGTGCCACCACACCCAGCTGATTTTTGTGTTTTTTGTAGAGACGAGGTTTCGCCATGTTTCCCAGACTGTTCTCAAACTCCTGAGCTCAAAGCAGTCCACCCACCTTGGCCTCCCAGAGTTCTGGGATTACAGGTGTGAGCCATCTTGCTCATTCTAGTTTAAACTTTTGAGTGGTTTGTGTCTCCTGATTGGACTCCTACAAATACAGAATTGATGCTAGGAAGGGTACCAGGAGATAGACGCACACAGATGGGATTTGGGAATAGGTTTGGTTATCCAAGGAGCAGTGCTGAGCTCCTTGCAATGGGATATGGGATGCTGGTGATTTCCAGGAAGTGCGCTCACAATGACTCAAGCTGCCACATACTGTTGATTGTGAAATGCCAGTTGAAGCATATGTCCTGCAAGCTTAGGGGTGCTACAAGTTGACCACTGCAGCAGTAAAGATGACTCTGAAGAATGGCGTGGGATGGTTCCTTTCAAATGCACTTGAGCAGCGGTCTCCAACCACAGGGCCACAGAGCTGGAGGTGAGCAGCAGGCGAGTGAAGGGAAACTTCATCTGTATTTCTAGCCCCTCCCATCGCTTGCATGACCACCTGAGCTCCATGTCCTGTCAGATCAGCAGCAGCATTAGATTGTCATAGGAGCACAAACTCTGTTGTGAAGTGTGCATGCGAGGGATCTAGGTTGTGTACTCCTTATGAGAATCTAATGCCTGATATTCTGTTACTGTCTCCCATCACCCCAGGTGGACAGTCTAGTTGCAGGAAAACAAGCTCAGAGATCCCACTGAGTCTACATTATAGTGAGTTGTAGAATCATTTCATTATATATTACTATGTAGTAATAATAGAAATAAAGTGCACAATATATGTAATGCACTTGAATCATCCTGAAATTATTCCCTCATTCCCAGTCTGTGGAAAAATTGTCTTCCACACATTCACTCTGTTTTTTGGTAGAGGCAGGGTCTTAATATATTGCCCAGTCTGATCTCAAACTCCTGGCCTCAAGTAATATACCTCTCTCAGCCTCCCAAAGTGCTGAGATTACAGGCATAAGCCACCACCCTCAACCAAGAGTTTCTTAAACCAAATAAAAATTAAGTGAGATTACTTGAGCCCAGGTGGTCAAGGCTGCAGTGAGCCTGATTGCACCACTGCACTCCAGCCTAGGTGACAGAATGAGACTGTCTCAAAAAATAAAATAAAATACAAATTAACCCTTTATGACATTCCCAGTAACTTCCTAAGTGCTCCCCACAAGTCTTTGAATTCTGTTTAATTTTCACATAACATTTAAGACATTTAAGAACTTATGTCTGTCTGTGTCATCCCTTTATGTCAAAAGATGTCTTTTTGTCACTTCCAGCTGGATCTACCATGAAAGACTTGTGAATCCAGGAAGAGAGACTGACTGGGCAACATGTTATTCAGGTACAAAAAGATTTGGACTGTAACTTAAAAATGATCAAATTATGTTTCCCATGCATCAGGTGCAATGGGAAGCTCTTCTGGAGAGTGAGAGAAGCTTCCAGTTAAGGTGACATTGAAGCCAAGTCCTGAAAGATGAGGAAGAGTTGTATGAGAGTGGGGAGGGAAGGGGGAGGTGGAGGGATGGGGAATGGGCCGGGATGGGATAGCGCAAACTGCCCGGGAAGGGACACCAGCACTGTACAGACCTGAACAATGAAGATGGCATATTTTGTTCAGGGAATGGTGAATTAAGTGTGGCAGGAATGCTTTGTAGACACAGTAATTTGCTTGTATGGAATTTTGCCTGAGAGACCTCATTGCAGTTTCTGATTTTTTGATGTCTTCATCCATCACTGTCCTTGTCAAATAGTTTGGAACAGGTATAATGATCACAATAACCCCAAGCATAATATTTTGTTAATTCTCACAGAATCACATGTAGGTGCCACAGTTATCCCCATTTTATGAATGGAGTGATGAAAACCTTAGGAATAATGAATGATTTGCGCAGGCTCACCTGGATATTAAGACTGAGTCAAATGTTGGGTCTGGTCTGACTTTAATGTTTGCTTTGTTCATGAGCACCACATATTGCCTCTCCTATGCAGTTAAGCAGGTAGGTGACAGAAAAGCCCATGTTTGTCTCTACTCACACACTTCCGACTGAATGTATGTATGGAGTTTCTACACCAGATTCTTCAGTGCTCTGGATATTAACTGGGTATCCCATGACTTTATTCTGACACTACCTGGAGTTAGCACAGACCCCACAAGTTAGGGGCTCAGTCCCACGAGGCCATCCTCACTTCAGATGACAATGGCAAGTCCTAAGTTGTCACCATACTTTTGACCAACCTGTTACCAATCGGGGGTTCCCGTAACTGTCTTCTTGGGTTTAATAATTTGCTAGAACAGTTTACGGAACTCAGAAAAACAGTTTATTTTCTTTTTTTCTGAGAGAGAGGGTCTTATTTTGTTGCCCAGGCTGGTGTGCAATGGTGCAGTCATAGCTCATTGCAGCCTTGATTGTCTGGGTTCCAGTGGTTCTCCCACCTCAGCCTCCCTAGTAGCTGAGACTACATGCCTGCACCACCACATCTGGCTAGTTTCTTTTATTTTTTGTATAGATGGGGTCTTGTTGTGTTGGCCAGGCTGGCCACAAATTCCTGGTCTCAAGTGATCCTCCCACCTCAGCCTCTGAAAGTGCTGGGATTACAGATGTGAGCCACCACATCTGGCCAGTTCATTTCCTATTACTGGTTCATTGTGAAGGATACATCTCAGAAACAGTCAATGAAAGAGACGTGCATGCTGGATGCAGTGGCTCATGCCTGTAATCTCAGCACTTTGGGAGGCCAAGGTGGGAGGATCGCTTAAACTCAGGAGTTTGAGACCAGCCTGGGCAACATGGTGAAAACCTGTCTCTATAAAAAATTAAAAAATAATAATAATAACTGGTGTGGTGTTGTGCACCTAGAGTTCCAACTACTAGGGAAGCTGAGATGAGAGGATACCTTGAGCTGGGGACTGGGGAGGCTTAGGTTACAGTAAGCTGAGATTGTGCCACTGCACTCCAGCTTGGACAAAAGAGCCTGATCCTGTCTCAAAAAAAAGAAAGATACCCAGGGAAAGTTAAGTTCGGAGGGGCACAGAGCTCCCATGCCCTCTGTTGAACATGCGACCCTCCCAGCATCTCCTGTGTCCAGCAACCCTGAAAGCTCCGCAAACCCCTTTCAGGGTGTTTATGGAGGCTTTATTATGCAAGCATGATTGATAAAACCTTTGGCTGTTGGTGATTAAGTCAGTCTCCAGCCCCTCTTCCCCCTGGAGTTCAGTGCATGAGGCTGAAAGTTCCAAGCCTCTTACCATGTGGTTTCATGGTAATCAGCCCTCCTCTTGAAGAAATTTAGGAGCTTGCAGTCACCCAGTCATCTCAACAACATCCCCAAATGCATTCTTACCATGCTGGAGATCCCAAAGTTCTTAGAGGCTCTTGTGTTAGAAACCTGGGACCAAGACCAAATATTAAAACAAAAGATGCTCCTGTCACATCTATCACTGAGGTCTTTGTAAGAGCTTTAGAAGCTCTGTGCCAGGAACCAGGGACAGAGATTAAATATATATTTCTTTTCTTTTTTTTGAGACAGAATCTCCCTGTGCCATCCAGGCTGGAGTGCAGTGATGTGATCATAGCTCACTATAGCTTTGGCCTTCTGAGATCAAGCAATCCTCCCATCTCAACCTCCCAAGTAGCTAGGACTACACATGCATGTCACCCATGCCCAGATCATTTTTGTAGAGTCAGAGTTTCACCGTGGTGGCCAGGTTGGCCATGTTGGCCAGATGGGGTCTTCTTTTGTTGCCCAGGCTGGCCACAAATTCCTGGGCTCAAGTGATCCTCCCACCTCGTCCTTGTAGAGATGAGATTTAGTTATGTCGTCCAGGCTGATCTCAAACTCCTGGGCTAAATCGATTGTCTCACCTCAGCCTCTCAAGTATGTTATGAAGGTTATATGTTAGGAAGGGTCCCAGGAGGTAGACCCACACAGATGGGATTTGGGCATAGGTTTGGTTTCCCAGGGGGCAGTGCTGAGCTCTTTGCCAGTGGGAAATGGGATGCTGGTGATTTCCAGGAGGTGACCTCACAGTGACTCAAGCTACCACTTACTGTTGTTTGTGACGAAATGCCAGCTGAGGCACATGCCTTGGGAGCTAAGTGGTTGCTGCCCTGGACCACTGTGAAGACTGGTGTGGGAAGGGTCGCTTTGGATGCACTTGAGCAGGGGTCCCCAACCCCTGAGCCATGGAGCCGCAAGGAGCCACACAGCAGGAGGTGAGCGGTGTCGAGTGAGGGAGTGAGGGAAGCTTCGTCTGTATTTACAGCCACTCCCCTTTGCTCACATTCCCGCCTGAGCTCCACCTTCTCAGATGAGCAGCAGCGTTAGATTCTCATAGGAGAATGCACCCTGTTGTGAACCGTGCATGTGAGGGATCGAGGTTGCGCTGTCCTTATGAGAATCTAATACCTATTGATCTGTTACTTTCTCCCATCACGCTCAGGTGGGACCATCCAGTTGCAGGAAAACAAGCTTAACACGCCCACTGATTCTACATTATGGTGAGTTCTATAATTATTTTATTATATATTACAGTGTAATAATGGAAATAAAGTGCCTAATAAATGCAAATGTGCTTACATCTTTTGGCCCAGCTCCTACCTCCCGGCAGCCTCTCCAGGCCCAGAACTTTCTCCAGTCAGCCTCTACAGACCAAGCTCATGACTCTCAATGGCCTATTTAGGCCCATACCCTACGTCACGGCAGCCTCCGCAGATGAGGCTACTGCCTCACAACAGCCTCCACAGGCACAGCTCCATCGTTACAATGGCCTCTTTAGACCCAGCTCCTGCCTCCCAGCCTTCTCTCCAGGCCCTGAACATTCTCAGTAAGTTCAGGTAGCTGGGACTGTAGGTATACATGATGATACTTGGCTAATTTTTAAATTGTTTTGTAGACACGGGGTCTCACTTTGTTGGCCAGGCTGGTGTCAAACTAATGGCCTCAAGTGACCCTTCCACCCCTGCCTCCCATCCTCGAGGCATGTGCCACCACAAGGAGCACTTGTTCAATTTTCTAAAAAAAAAATTTCTAAAGTAAGGCTGTGGGATGATGGCAGGAAGATAAAAGAAAAACAGAAGAATAAGTTAAAATGACTTATTCACGCATATTCTTTTGACAGCAAGAAGAACTTTTAGTATGTACATTCCTTACAAACAAACAAAAGGCAGATAAACAATGTTGTATAGGAACTTCAACACACACTGTACAATATTCCCACTTTGCTGACATAAGTTATGGAAATTTCATGGTTTACTTGAGTGTCGCTACCAGTATTTTGCTTCTCTGATGATTTTTATCAACTTCCTCATCTGTTAACTTCTCTCCAAGGTATGTCATGTCACGACATACTGCCGCTGCACGAACATGGCCAGTGTCTTCCTATTCAACATGTAGAATGCTTTCCTAATTTCTCTTTTTACTCTCTGTCTTTGTGTTCTGCATTTTCCTTACTTTTATTGTCAGAAACTCCAGAAAGTCAATCGTACTAATTTATCACGATTTGCTTTATTAATTTATACATTGCTTATATGGAATTTTGCCCAGCAGACCTCATTACAATTTCTAACCTGTTTTATTTTGTTTTTTTTTCTGAGACAGGGTCTCCCTCTGTTGTCCAAGGCTGGAGTGTAGTAGTGCTATCGCAGCTGACTGCAGCCTCAACCTTCCAGGCTGAAACGATCCTCCCACCTCAACCTCCCACGTGGCTGAGACTACAGGTGCTTGCCACTATGCCCAACTAACATTTGGAATTTTCGTATACGTGGATTCCAGAGGGGTGACAGCAAAACGTGAGTAAGCATGGATTTTGGTATATGCAGAGATGGGGGGCTGGAACTAATTCTGTATACTGAGGGACGACGACTGTATATGTTTTTACAATTACGCTGTGGGATACATACTGTTGCATAGCCTTGAAAATAATAATTTTTAATTGAGTGGAATAAGAATAATATTGATAAAAGTAGCAGCTGGCCAGGTGTGGTGGCTCACACTGGTAATCGCAACACTTTGGGAGGCTGAGACAGGAGGATGGCTTGAGGCCAAGAGTTTGCGATAGGCCTTGGAAATAAAGGGGGAGTCACCATCCCTACAGAAAAATACATGAATTAGCCTAGTGTGGTGGCATGTTCCTGTAGTCCCAGCTACTTGGGAGGCTGAGGTGGGAGGATCACTTGAGCCCAGGGAGGCTGAGACTGCAGTGAGTCATGATCAGGCCTCTGCACTCCAGCCTGGGTGACAGAGTGAGACCCTGTCTCAAAACAACAAAAAAGTAGCAGCTAACATCAACTGACCTTTTACCAGGTGCCTATTGATACCATAGTTTAATTTCTTATAACTGTTTCTTATTTCACTTACCAACTCTGTCTTCAGTTACTCCCAGATTTTTACTGTGTGTGTACAGATGACCTTTTGTTTAGATTGAATTGTCTCCCCAGAAGTAAGATTACTGTGAGTCATGGTGAATGGACATTCTCCTTACCCTTGATGTAAATTGACAGGGTTTTGGGTGCCTCCCAGCTATAATCTTAGCACTTTGGGAGGCTAAGAGAGGAGGATTGCTTGAGGCCAAGAGTTGGAGGAGGCAGTATGGCAGTATGGTGAGACCCTGTCTCCATTATTTTAAAAAATTGACAGGCTTTACCCGGGAAGGCTTATACACAATTTAAACACCCCTCATAGTATAAGAAGGTGCCCATTTCACTGCACCTTTGCCAGCACAGGGTATTATAATTTAGTAAGTCATTTTTTGTTTGATTATTTTACATAGACAAAAGAACTCATATTACTTTACTTGTCACATTTCAACATCTTTCCTCAGCTTATTAGCTCTATTTCTTTTCTGTCTGTAAATGGTTGTTGTTGTTTTGTTCTTTGAGACAGGGTCTTGCTCTGTCACCAGGCTGGACTGTAGTGGCATAATCATGCCTCACTGCAGCCTTGACCTCCCAGGCTCAAACTTCCGCATTCCGAGTAGCTGGGACTACAAGTGTGCACTACCACCACCAGCTAACTTTTTTCTTCTTTTGGATAGAGACAGGGTCTCACTCTGTTGTCCAGACCGGTCTCTAGCTCCTGGCCTTAAGCAATCCTCCTGCATTAGCTTCTCAAATTGCTGGAATTTCAGGCCTGAGCCACCATGCCTGGCCTGGGCTAGTCCTATATTCTCTAGAGTTCTCTTTACTTTGTGCTAGCCAATCTCTCATTATGCTGTTCACCTGTTATAATGAATAATTCTCTGTATTAAATTTTACCACTTTAAACTTTTGAGTGGTTTATGCTTCCTGATTGGACTCTGACTAATATGTTAGGAAGGGTCCCAGGAGGTAAACCCACACAGATGGGATTTGGGCATAGGTTTGGTTTCCCAGGGGGCAGTGCTGAGCTCTTTGCCAGTGGGAAATGGGATGCTGGTGATTTCCAGTAGGTGACCTCACAGTGACTCAAGCTACCACTTACTGTTGATTGTGACGAAATGCCAGCTGAGGCACATGCCTTGGGAGCTAAGTGGTTGCTGCCCTGGACCACTGTGAAGACTGGTGTGGGAAGGGTCGCTTTGGATGCACTTGAGCAGGGGTCCCCAACCCCTGAGCCATGGAGCCGCAAGGAGCCACACAGCAGGAGGTGAGCGGTGTCGAGTGAGGGAGTGAGGGAAGCTTCGTCTGTATTTACAGCCACTCCCCTTTGCTCACATTCCCGCCTGAGCTCCACCTTCTCAGATGAGCAGCAGCGTTAGATTCTCATAGGAGAACGCACCCTGTTGTGAACCGTGCATGTGAGGGATCGAGGTTGCGCTGTCCTTATGAGAATCTAATACCTATTGATCTGTCACTTTCTCCCATCACGCTCAGGTGGGACCATCCAGTTGCAGGAAAACAAGCTTAACACGCCCACTGATTCTACATTATGGTGAGTTCTATAATTATTTTATTATATATTACAGTGTAATAATGGAAATAAAGTGCCTAATAAATGCAAATGTGCTTACATCTTTTGGCCCAGCTCCTACCTCCCGGCAGCCTCTCCAGGCCCAGAACTTTCTCCAGTCAGCCTCTACAGACCAAGCTCATGACTCTCAATGGCCTATTTAGGCCCATACCCTACGTCACGGCAGCCTCCGCAGATGAGGCTACTGCCTCACAACAGCCTCCACAGGCACAGCTCCATCGTTACAATGGCCTCTTTAGACCCAGCTCCTGCCTCCCAGCCTTCTCTCCAGGCTCTGAACTTTCTCAGTAAGTTCAGGTAGCTGGGACTGTAGGTATATATGACGATACTTGGCTAATTTTTAAATTGTTTTGTAGACACGGGGTCTCACTTTGTTGGCCAGGCTGGTGTCAAACTAATGGCCTCAAGTGACCCTTCCACCCCTGCCTCCCATCCTCGAGGTATGTGCCACCACAGGGAGCACTTGTTCAATTTTCTAAAAAAGAAATTTCTAAAGTAAGGCTGTGGGATGATGGCAGGAAGATAAAAGAAAAACAGAAGAATAAGTTAAAATGACTTATTCACACATATTCTTTTGACAGCAAGAAGAACTTTTAGTATATACATTCCTTAAAAACAAACAAAAGGCAGATAAACAATGTTGTATAGGAACTTCAACACACACTGTACAATATTCCCACTTTGCTGACATAAGTTATGGAAATTTCATGGTTTACTTGAGTGTCGCTACCAGTATTTTGCTTCTCTGATGATTTTTATCAACTTCCTCATCTGTTAACTTCTCTCCAAGGTATGTCATGTCACGACATACTGCCGCTGCACGAACATGGCCAGTGTCTTCCTATTCAACATGTAGAATGCTTTCCTAATTTCTCTTTTTACTCTCTGTCTTTGTGTTCTGCATTTTCCTTACTTTTATTGTCAGAAACTCCAGAAAGTCAATCGTACTAATTTATCACGATTTGCTTTATTAATTTATACATTGCTTATATGGAATTTTGCCCAGCAGACCTCATCACAGTTTCTAACCTGTTTTATTTTTTATTTATTTATTTTTTTTGTTCTGAGACAGGGTCTCCCTCTGTTGTCCAAGGCTGGAGTGTAGTAGTGCTATCGCAGCTGACTGCAGCCTCAACCTTCCAGGCTGAAGTGATCCTCCCACCTCAGCCTCCCACGTGGCTGAGACTACAGGTGCTTGCCACTATGCCCAACTAACATTTGGAATTTTCGTATACGTGGATTCTAGAGGGGTGACAGCGAAACGTGAGGTAAGCATGGATTTTGGTATATGCAGAGATGGGGGGCTGGAACTAATTCTGTATACTGAGGGATGACGACTGTGTATGTTTTTACAATTACGCTGTAGGATACATACTGTTGCATAGCCTTGAAAATAATAATTTTTAATTGAGTGGAATAAGAATAATATTGATAAAAGTAGCAGCTGGCCAGGTGTGGTGGCTCACACTGGTAATCGCAACACTTTGGGAGGCTGAGGCAGGAGGATGGCTTGAGGCCAAGAGTTTGCGATAGGCCTTGGAAACAAAGGGGGAGTCACCATCCCTACAGAAAAATACATGAATTAGCCTAGTGTGGTGGCATGTTCCTGTAGTCCCAGCTACTTGGGAGGCTGAGGTGGGAGGATCACTTGAGCCCAGGGAGGCTGAGACTGCAGTGAGTCATGATCAGGCCTCTGCACTCCAGCCTGGGTGACAGAGTGAGACCCTGTCTCAAAACAACAAAAAAGTGGCAGCTAACATCAACTGACCTTTTACCAGGTGCCTATTGATACCATAGTTTAATTTCTTATAAGTGTTTCTTATTTCACTTACCAACTCTGTCTTCAGTTACTCCCAGATTTTTACTGTGTGTGTACAGATGACCTGTTGCTTAGATTGAATTGTCTCCCCAGAAGTAAGATTACTGTGAGTCATGGTGAATGGACATTCTCCTTACCCTTGATGTAAATTGACAGGGTTTTGGGTGCCTCCCAGCTATAATCTTAGCACTTTGGGAGGCTAAGAGAGGAGGATTGCTTGAGGCCAAGAGTTGGAGGAGGCAGTATGGCAGTATGGTGAGACCCTGTCTCCATTATTTTAAAAAATTGACAGGCTTTACCCTGGAAGGCTTATACACAATTTAACCACCCCTCATAGTATAAGAAAGTGCCCATTTCACTGCACCTTTGCCAGCACAGGGTATTATAATTTCGTAAGCCATTTTTTGTTTGATTATTTTAAATAGACAAAAGACCTCATATTACTTTACTTGTCACATTTCAACATCTTTCCTCAGCTTATTAGCTCTATTTCTTTTCTGTCTGTAAATGGTTGTTGTGGTTTTGTTCTTTGAGACAGGGTCTTGCTCTGTCACCAGGCTGGACTGTAGTGGCATAATCATGCCTCACTGCAGCCTTGACCTCCCAGGCTCAAACTTCCGCATTCCGAGTAGCTGGGACTACAAGTGTGCACCACCACCCCCAGCTAACTTTTTTCTTCTTTTGGATAGAGACAGGGTCTCACTGTGTCGTCCAGAGCGGTCTCTAGCTCCTGGCCTTAAGCAATCCTCCTGCATTAGCTTCTGTAATGGCTGGAATTTCAGGCATGAGCCACCATGCCTGGCCTGGGCTAGTCCCATATTCTCTAGAGTTCTCTTTACTCTGTGCTAGCCAATCTCTCATTATGCTGTTCACCTGTTATAATGAATAATTCTCTGTATTAAATTTTACCACTTTAAACTTTTGAGTGGTTTATGCTTCCTGATTGGACTCTGACTAATATGTTAGGAAGGGTCCCAGGAGGTAAACCCACACAGATGGGATTTGGGCATAGGTTTGGTTTCCCAGGGGGCAGTGCTGAGCTCTTTGCCAGTGGGAAATGGGGTGCTGGTGATTTCCAATAGGTGACCTCACAGTGACTCAAGCTACCACTTACTGTTGATTGTGACGAAATGCCAGCTGAGGCACATGCCTTGGGAGCTAAGTGGTTGCTGCCCTTGACCACTGTGAAGACTGGTGTGGGAAGGGTCGCTTTGGATGCACTTGAGCAGGGGTCCCCAACCCCTGAGCCATGGAGCCGCAAGGAGCCACACAGCAGGAGGTGAGCGGTGTCGAGTGAGGGAGTGAGGGAAGCTTCGTCTGTATTTACAGCCACTCCCCTTTGCTCACATTCCCGCCTGAGCTCCACCTTCTCAGATGAGCAGCAGCATTAGATGCTCATAGGAGAACGCACCCTGTTGTGAACCGTGCATGTGAGGGATCGAGGTTGCGCTGTCCTTATGAGAATCTAATACCTATTGATCTGTCACTTTCTCCCATCACGCTCAGGTGGGACCATCCAGTTGCAGGAAAAAAGCTTAACATGCCCACTAATTCTACATTATGGTGAGTTCTATAATTATTTTATTATATATTACAGTGTAATAATGGAAATAAAGTGCCTAATAAATGCAAATGTGCTTACATCTTTTGGCCCAGCTCCTACCTCCCGGCAGCCTCTCCAGGCCCAGAACTTTCTCCAGTCAGCCTCTACAGACCAAGCTCATGACTCACAATGGCCTATTTAGGCCCATACCCTACGTCACGGCAGCCTCCGCAGATGAGGCTACTGCCTCACAACAGCCTCCACAGGCACAGCTCCATCGTTACAATGGCCTCTTTAGACCCAGCTCCTGCCTCCCAGCCTTCTCTCCAGGCCCTGAACTTTCTCAAGTCGACCTCACCAGGCCCAGCTCATGCATCTTGGTGGCCCCTCCAGGCCCAGCCTCTGCCTCCTGTCAGCCTCTACAGTCCCAACGTCTGCCTCACAGCAGATTCTTCACGCCCAGCATCTACCTCACTGTGGACCCCCCAAGCCAAGCTCCCAACCTTTCAGCAGCTTCTACACACCCAGCTCCTGCCACCCAGTGGCCTCTTTAGGCCAAGCTCATGCTTCACAAGGGCCTTTCCAGGCCCAACTTTTGTCTCATGGCAACCTTCCCTGGCCAGATTCCTGCCTGTCTCCCAGCAGCCTAGACAGGCCCAGGTCTTGCCTCACACTGGCCTCTCTACATCCAGCTTATGCCTCACGGTGGCCTCTCCACGCCCAACTCCTGTCCCAGGACGTCATCTCCGGGCCCAAAACTTACTCAAGTCAGACTCTCTAGTCCCAACTGCTGCCTCCTGGTGGCCTATGAAGGCCCAAAATCTCCTCAAGTTGACCTGTCCAGGCCCAGCTCCTGCCTCCTGTCAGCGTCTACAGGCCCAACCTCTGCCTCATGGGGGCTTCTCCAGGCCCACCTCTTCCTCTTGGCTGGGTCTACAGGCACAACTGCTGCCTCACAACAGCCTTTTTTGGCCCAGTTCCTGTCCAGCTCATGGCGGCCAATGTAGGCCCAAAACTTCCTCAAGTCAAACTCTCCAGGCCCACCTTCTGCTTCCCGGTGGCATCAACAGGCCCAGCTTTGACTTGAGAACAGCCTCTGCAGGCCCTGCTCTTGCCTCCCAGGGGCTTTTTCCAGGCCCAGCTCTTGCCTCATGGCAGCTGCCCCAGGCCAAATTTCTGCCTGCCTGCCAGCAGCCTCAACAGGCACAGCTCCTCCCTCACAGTGGCCCATTTAGGCCCAACTCATGACTGTGAGGCCATTTCCAGGCCTAGTGCCTGCCTCGTGGCTGACTCTTGAAGCCCAAAACTTCCTCAAATCAGCCTTTTGCCCAACTTCTGTCTACTGTCGGACTCTACAGGTCAGCCTCTGCCTCACAGTGGACCCTCCAGACCCAGATGGTGTCTCACTGTGGCATCCTCAGGCGAAGCTCCTGCCTTTCGGCAGCCTCTCCAGGCCCAGCTCCTCCTGCCTCCCAGTGGCCTCTTTCGGCCCAGCCCAGCTCATGCCTCCCGGCAGCCTTCCCAAGCCCCGCTTTTGACTTTCGGTGGCCTCTGCAGGCCTCGACAAGGCCCAGCCTCCTGCCTCCCGAAGGCCTGCACAGGCCCAGCCTCTGCCTCACAGCGGACTCTCCACGCCCAGCTAGCTGTTGCTTCACTGCGGCCTCCCGAGTCCAAAGCTCCTGCCTCTCGGCCGCTTCGGCAGGCCCAGCTCCCGCCTGCCAGTGGCCTCTTCAGGCCCATGGGGCTCATTCCTGACAACGGCCTTTCCAGGCCCAGTTTTTCCCTTCCGGCGGCCTCCCTGGGCCCAGAACCTCCTCAAGTCGGCCTCTCCAGACCCACTTGCACCCTCCGGGCGTCCTCTCCGGGCCCAGCTCTTCTTCCTGGTTGGGTCTCCAGGCCCGATTCCTGCCTCTCAACAACCTCTTTGGACTCAGTGCCTACCCATCTCCTGGCGGCCTTGGTCGGCCCACAGCTTCCTCAAGCCAAGCTCCCCAGGCCCAGGTCAGGCCTCACGGTGGCCTCTCCAGGATGAGCTCCTGCCCTCCGATGGCATCTCCAGGCCCCAAATGGTCTCCGGTCGGTGGGCTCCTCCACGCCAAGGTTGGGCCTCCCGGCGACCGCCGCAGGCCCAAGTTGTCCTGAAGTCGGGCTCTCCCGGCCCTGCCTCCCAGCAAGTAAGCAAGCTCTTTTGGCTCAACTCCTGCCCAGCTCCCAGCCGCCTTTGTAGGCCCCGAACTTTCTCCAGCCAAGCTCTGAGGGCCCACCTCCTGCCTCCTGGTGGCCTGTACAGTTCTAGCACTGGTTGGAGAACAGCCTCTGCAGGCCCCACCCTTGCCTCCCAGGGGCCTCTCCAGGCCCAGCTCTTGCCCCCACGGCGGCCTCCCGGGGCCAAGTCCCTGCCTGCCTCCCAGCAGCCCGCGTGTGGCCCAGCTCCTCCCTCACGGTGGCCTGTTGATGCCCAACTCATGCCTCTGGTACCCTGCCCAGAGGCGTGAGCCCCTGCCTCACACTGGCCCCTCCCACGCTGAGAGAGGTCAGTGTGAGCCCTTGCCTCACACCGGCCCCTCCCACGCAGACAGAGGTCAGCGTGAGCCCCTTGCCTCACACCGGCCCCTCCCACGCTGAGAGAGGTCAGTGTGAGCCCTTGCCTCACCCCGGCCCCTCCCATGTGGACAGAGGTCAGCGTGAGCCCCTTGCCTCACACCGGCCCCTCCCACGCTGAGAGGTCAGTGTGAGCCCTTGCCTCACACCGGCCCCTCCCACGCGGACAGAGGTCAGCGTGAGCCCGTTGCCTCACACCGGCCCATCCCACGCTGAGAGAGGTCAGTGTGAGCCCTTGCCTCACCCCGGCCCCTCCCACGTGGACAGAGGTCAGCGTGAGCCCCTTGCCTCACACCGGCCCCTCCCACGCTGAGAGAGGTCAGTGTGAGCCCTTGCCTCACACCGGCCCCTCCCACGCGGACAGAGGTCAGCGTGAGCCCCTTGTCTCACACCGGCTCCTCCCACGCTGAGAGAGGTCAGTGTGAGCCCTTGCCTCACACCGGCCCCTCCCACGCGGACAGAGGTCAGCGTGAGCCCCTTGCCTCACACTGGCCCCTCCCACGCTGAGAGAGGTCAGTGTGAGCCCTTGCCTCACCCCGGCCCCTCCCACGTGGACAGAGGTCAGCGTGAGCCCCTTGCCTCACCCCGGCCCCTCCCACGCTGAGAGAGGTCAGTGTGAGCTCTTGCCTCACACCGGCTCCTCCCACGCGGACAGAGGTCAGTGTGAGCCCCTTGTCTCACACCGGCCCCTCCCATGCTGAGAGAGGTCAGTGTGAGTCCTTGCCTCACACCGGCCCCTCCCACGCGGACAGAGGTCAGCCCGAGCCCCTTGTCTCACACCGGCCCCTCCCATGCTGAGAGAGGTCAGTGTGAGCCCTTGCCTCACACTGGCCCCTCCCACGCTGAGAGAGGTCAGCCCGAGCCCCTTGCCTCACACCGGCCCCTCCCACGCTGAGAGAGGTCAGCCCGAGCCCCTTGTCTCACACCGGCCCCTCCCACGCGGACAGAGGTCAGCGTGAGCCCCTTGCCTCACACCGGCCCCTCCCACGCTGAGAGAGGTCAGCCCGAGCCCCTTGCCTCACACCGGCCCCTCCCACGCTGAGAGAGGTCAGCGTGAGCCCTTGCCTCACACCGGCCCCTCCCACGCGGACAGAGGTCAGCCTGAGCCCTTGCCTCATACTGGCCCCTCCCACGCTGAGAGAGGTCAGCGTGAGCCCTTGCCTCACACCGGCCCCTCCCACGCGGACAGAGGTCAGCGTGAGCCCCTTGCCTCACACAGGCCCCTCCCACGCTGAGAGAGGTCAGTGTGAGCCCTTGCCTCACACCGGCCCCTCCCACGCGGACAGAGGTCAGCCTGAGCCCCTTGCCTCACACCGGCCCCTCCCACGCTGAGAGAGGTCAGTGTGAGCCCTTGCCTCACACCGGCCCCTCCCACGCGGACAGAGGTCAGCGTGAGCCCCTTGCCTCACACCGGCCCCTCCCACGCTGAGAGAGGTCAGTGTGAGCCCTTGCCTCACACCGGCCCCTCCCACGCGGACAGAGGTCAGCGTGAGCCCCTTGCCTCACACCGGCCCCTCCCACGCTGAGAGAGGTCAGTGTGAGCCCTTGCCTCACACCGGCCCCTCCCACGCAGACAGAGGTCAGCGTGACCCCCTGCCTCAACAGGCCACCGTGAGGGAGGAACAGGATCGCACTCGGGCTGCTGGGAGGTAGGCAGGGACTTGGGCCTGGGAGGTCGCGGTGGGGCGAGAGCTGGGCCTGGAGACTCCCCTGGGAGGCAACAGCGGGGTCTGCAGACGCCCTTCTCCAGCCGGAGCTGGGACTGTTCAGTGACTGGGAGAAGGGATGTGGGTCTGAAGAGCTTGGTTGCAGAAACTTCGGGGTCTACAAACGCAGGCGGGAGCTGAGCCAAAAGAGCTTGTTTGCTGGGAGGTGGGAGATGCAGCCAGGAGGAACAGCTGGGCAATGCGGGAGGCAGAGGCCAGGCCTCCTCAAGTTGGCCTCTCAGACCCACTTGCAGCCTCCCGGCGCCCCCTCCGGGCCCAGCTCTTCCTCCCGGCTGCATCTCCAGGCCGGACTCTGGCCCGACTCCAGGTCCCAACAACGTCTTTGGACTCAGCTCCTGCCCAGCTCCCAGCGGCCCTGGTAGGCCCACAACTTCCCTAAGCCAAGCTCCCCAGGCCCAGCTCAGGCCTCGTGGTGGCCTCTCCAGGCTCAGCTCCTGGCCCTCCGATGACATCTGCAGGCCCCAAATGGCCTCCGGTCGGTGGGCTCCTCTAGGCCCAGCTTGGGCCTCCCGGCGGCCTTCGCAGGCCCAAATCATCCCGAAGTCAGTCTCTCCAGGCTTAGCTCCAGCCTCCCGGCGGCCTCTGCAGGCCCAAGTCGTCCTCAAGTCGGCCTGGAAGTGGGCCTGGAAGAGCAGCAAGTCGGCCTCCCTGGGCCCAGCTCTGTCCTCTCGACGGCCTCTCCAGGTGCAAAACTTCCTCGAGTCAGCCTCTCCAGGCCCAGCTCCTCCTGCCTCCCAGTGGCCTCTTTCGGCCCAGCCCAGCTCATGGCTCTTGGCGGCCTTCCCAGGCCCCGCTTTTGACTTTTGGCAGCCTCTTCAGGTGCAGAACTTGATCTCCAGTCGGCCTTTGCAGGCCCGGCCTCCTGCCTCTCGAAGGCCTGCACGGGCCCGGCCTCGGCCTCGGCCTCACAGCGGACTCTCCACGCCCAGCTAGCTCTCGCCTCACTGCGGCCTCCCCAGTCCAAAGCTCCTGCCTTTCGGCCACTTCGGCAGGTCCAGCTCCTGCCTGCCAGTGGCCTCTTTAGGCCCAGCTCATTCCTCACGTCGGCCATTCCAGGCCCCGTTTTTCCCTTCCGGCAGCCTCTTGGCCTCTAATTTGTTTATCTTTTGTGTATAAATCCCAAAATATTGAATTTTGGAATATTTCCACCATTATGTAAATATTTTGGTAGGTAATTTATTTGGAGTGAGTTTCTGCGCCAAGCCCGAATTTTTTATTTTATTTTCCTTATTATTTGGTGTTAAACAGGTTTAATGACGGTCATGGCAACTTTTTGGCACAATGAAAAATATCGCCCACGATCGACGTGTTCTGTTCTGGGGAAGGGGGCAAAGGCAGGGTGAATCACTTTCTTAAAAAGTATAGCTCAAGTTGGGAGTGCAGAGGGAATGGGGAGAAAACCCTCCCGCTGCCTGTGTCGAAGTGCAGGAGCCCCCACCCCCATACTCACCTGAGTCCAGCCCCTCTGGGGAAAGAAGGGGTGCATGAACTCCCCCTAGTCCACAGGCGCCTCCCTGTGGCCCAAGGCCCTCTTCACACTCCATCTTGTAGCCCCAGCAGGAGCTATTTTCCGAAAAATGAAAAGCTCTGAAGGTCCCACAATTCATGGTATGTACAGGGGCTCGGAGGAGGGAAACTGCCCAGCTTTCCCCCGGCACAGCTGCAGGGGTAGGGGGTATAGATAAGAGGAGCAGGCCTTGGCCAGGCGTGGTGGCTCACGCCTGTAATCCCAGCACTTTGGGAGGGGGAGGCAGGCAGATCACGATGTCAGGAGATCGAAATCAGCCTGGCCAAGATGATGAAGCCCCGTCTGTACTAAAAATACAAAAATTAGCCGGACGTGGTAGCGTCCACCTGTAATCCTAGCTACCCGGAAGGCTGAGGCAGGAGAATGGCGTGAACCCGGCTGGAAGAGGTTGCAGTGAGCCAAGATCGCACCACTGCACTCCAGCCTGGGCGACAGAGCAAGACTCGGTCTCAAAAAAAAAAAAAAAAAAAAAAAAAAAAGAGGAAGGCCTTACTCCATCCCAAACTGAAAGGATTAAATGGCTTCACCTGGGAGAAGATAACCATCCTGCCCTCCATTGCTACCCCCACATACTGTCCATGTTCTCAGGGGGTACTGTGAGTCCTGGGATCTTTGGGGTTGCCCACCTGCCTGTGGTAGTTATGGAGACCCCCAGGTGTTGAGGCAGGGCTGGGGTGTCCCCTTCCAACCAGGCTGTCAAGGCCCCAACTCTGGGGCAGAGGCAGTGGCAGGGCAGCCAGGGTTGTGCCAGAGCCTGAGCAGGTTGAGGTGGGGTCAGGCAGGGCTGGGAGTCAGGGCAGGGGCAGCAGCAGTGGACCTGCTATGCACACATCTTCTTCTCCAAGGTTTGTGTGCAGAACATCCTGCCCATGCTGCCCCAGCAGCTTCAGTTGGCACCTGCCTCAGTCCAGCCTCTGGGAACCATGCAGCAGCTCCCAGCGGCCCTGCACCCACCACCAGCATCCGTTTCACCTGCAGTTGAAGATCCGTGAGGTGCCCAGAAGATCATGCAGTCATCAGTCCCACGGAGCAGCCCGCGAGGCTGAGGCTCCTCCCACTGGACCGCCCCCCAACTGGCACCACTGCTGCCCCTGCCCCTACTCTCAGCCTCACGTGACTCTCGGGCAGAAGCAGTGGTGGGGCAGCCAGGGCAGCGTCAAGAGTCTGAGCCAGGTGAGTTGCGGTCAGGACCCCCACAGGGCTGGGAGTCAGGGCAGGGGCAGAACAAACCTTGGAGGGGAAGATGTGTGCATAGTGGGCCTGGAGGGCGGCTGTGGCCTAGTGGACAGGAAGAAGCAGTGGGCCTGGAAGAGCTGCATGATCAGGGCCGGCACTGGTCCAGGGTACGTGCAGTGAAGAGGACAGCGCCTTCTCGGTCTCCGGTTCCCTGAGCCTGTCCTCGGCTTCTCCACCTGTACAGGCAAAGGGGAAGCTGTCCCCATCACACATGGCACACTTGGGGGTGTTGGGCTTTGGACTGCAGCTGGAGCATCTTCTCATCTTGCATTTGGGCGCGGTGGGGTCCTCCAGTGTGGGATCCATGTCCGTGGGGTTCCCTCTGCCCCGACCCCGAAAGCCCAGTCAGTTTCTCTTCAGGCTCTGCTCCCCGGGTGGCTCAGCCCAGCTCCTGCCTAGGAAAGCCTTAGTGTTGGGAGGGACCCTGATGACTGAGGAGCCTGGTAGCTCCAGGTCACCCACACTTTCAGGTCTCTTGCACCAGAAGGTGGCAGGATCCATTGGGAGGAAACAGGCCACCTTGGAAGGTGTCCCTGGGCCCCCATCCCCAGGGGTTGGGGCCGTAGGGGGCCCGCTCTGCTGCGTTGACCAGACTCCTGGGCTTTGAAGGCTCCTGGGCCCAGTAAGAAGGAGGTGGGTGCCAAGGTTGGGGAGGAAGCATCCGAGTATGTGTAGGAGGAGGACAGGGTGTGACCATAGACTGCCAAAAGCTGCAGGTGGATCGGGGGACCCTGGGGGCTCAGGATCCAGCAAGGGGCGGCAGGAGTAAAGGAGGAAGGAATGACAGGTGCAAATACCTTCCCACCAAAGCCCTTGTTGCCCTCTGGCTCCTCCCCAGAGTTGTCCCCACTCTCAGTCGGTCACCCACTCCTTGAACTTGAGATCGGTGTTGGTGGTGCTAAAGCCATCATCAGCAATGACATCATCACCCCCTCCTCCTCATGGATGACCGTGTGCTCTTCGTCACTCGCTATGACCTCGCTGGCCATGTGCTGGGAATGAGCAGCTCACGTGGGCGGCAGCAGGGCTGCCCACGGGTCACCTCCCTCACCAGGGGCTGCAAAGTGGCCTGGAGCTCCATGCTGAGTAGAAGGCTTTGGGCCAGAGTATGATGCAGTGCCAGACACCACCTGTGTCAGTTCCCGTAGTGCCTGACGGTCTATTTCCCTGCCGTCCAGGCTGTGTACCCCGCTGTGGGAGAAGGCTTGGGCCAGGCTGAGCCAGGTTCCCTGACTGTGTGCAGCCGTTCTGCCCCACAGAAGCTGCTCCTTGGTATCCGAGCTCTGGAGTGTTTGGGCTGCAACTGACAGGAGTTCAGAGGACACCCCAGGGGCAGTGGCAGTGCCCGTCTCTGATATGCTCCGCTCCCACGAGCCCTTGTTACACTCCTGCTAGCCCCTGGCTTGTGGGCTTGGCCTCTGAGCTGGACTTCTTTTGGTCCTTGTTGCAAGTGGGCCACCTTCACCTGGAAGGCCAGGTTGTATTTCTGCATCTCATTGGGCCCCAGGGTGTACCACCGCTCGCTCAGCATCTGGCTGACGGTCCGGTTATCCTGGTTGGGGTGACCCTGGTGCGCCCCGCCAGGGCCTGGTGCCGCCTGCTGAAGATCATGAGCGCCACTCATGGGCCACCGGATGTGGTCCTTGTCCGATTTGTTGGGGCTGCGTCCATCCTTCTCAGAAGATGAGTCCTGTTCCTTGCGCAGGGCACTGAGGGACTGGGCCTGACATCATCTGAGTGGTAGAGGCAACTGGGTGTCAGGAGACATGATGGAGAGGAAAGCATCATCATGGTCATTCTCTGTCTCACTGTCCAGCAGGGACTCCCCTGAGGGGCCCAGGGCTCCTCCTCCATGGTGGGAGGTGAGCTTTTACCAGGTTCCACCACCCCCAAAGTGTGTGGGGTTGCGGGCCCTGGGCTTTCAGGGCAGGTGGCTCCAGGGGGCCGCCCAGGGTCAACACTCCCTGTCCCACCTGGTGGACGCTCATGAGCAACGGCTGCCAACTTGGCAGGTTGTTTTCTCTGGTTGGAGGCCACTGAGTGACTGGCAGGTTGCTGGGCCTCGTGTGGCTGCAGGGAGGGGTCAGGAAGGGGATGGAGTACCAGGAGAACACGGCCGCAGAGTGACCTTCCACATTCCTCCACACGAACATGCTGACGCCACGGGAGGCCTCACTGAACGCAGGCCTGGGGGCCGAGCACTTGGTCCGGGCGGGGGGTTCCTGGCAGGGGCTCACACCTCCTCACCCCCTCCTCAGCCAAGGTGGCTTGGGCCCAGAGAAGGGGAGGTTGGAGAGGAGCAGAAGGCCAGGCCTCAAGTTTTGTTTTTTTTGTTTGTTTTGTTTTTTGTTTTTGAAATGTAGTTTGACTCTTGTCACCCAGGCTGGAGTGCAGTGGCACGATCTCAGTGGCCTTCATACCTGGCTAATTTTTTGTATTTTTACTGGAGGTGGGGTTTTGCCATGTTGGCCAGGCTGGTCTTGACCTCCCGACCTCAGGTGATCCACCCACCTCAGCCTCCCAAAATGGGATTACAGGCATGAGCCACCACTCCCAACTTCATTCATTTTTACTTGAAAAACTCCGTTAAGCATTTTTTTAAGGTAGACCTAGTGGTCCTGAATGCCCTCAGCTTTGTTTGTCGAGGAAACACGTTATTTCTTTTTCCTTTCTGAAGGACAGCTTTGTCAGACATAGTATTAGTTGCTGGCAGTTTTTTTCTTTCAGCACTTTGAATGTATTATTCGATTCTGTCCTGACCTGCAAAGTTTCTTTAACTTTTGACTATTTGATTATATTGTGACTTGGTGAGTATCTATTTGGTTTGAACCTCTTTAGGAATCTTTAAGCTTCATGGATTTAGATGTCTAAATCTTTCCCATGATTTAGGCAGTTGTCAGCCATTCTTTAAATAAGCTTTATTCTCCTTTCTCTACTTTCCTTCTCAAACTCCCATAACCTGACAATGGTTTGCTTAATGGTGTCTTGTTGGCTTTCTTTTCTCTGTCTCTTTTTTTTTTCTTTTTGAGACAGAGTCATGCTCTGTCACCCAGGCTGGAGTGTAATGTGTGGTCTCGGCTCACATTGCACTCCAACCTCCGCCTCCTGGGTTCAAGCGATTCTCCTGCCTCAGCCTCCCAAGTAGCTGGGACTACAGGTGTGTGCCACCACACCCGGCTAATTTTTGTATTTTTAGTAGAGATGGGGCTTTGTCATGTTGGACAGGCTGGTCTTGAACTCCTGACCTCTTAATCTGCCTGCCTCGGCCTCCCAAAGTGCTGGGATTACTGGTGTGAGCCACCACGCCTGGTCCAAGAACCCAACTTTTAGATCTAGAGTGATGTCAGCATGACATTGATTTCCTGAGGCCCAGGGTTGAAGGAGCTGAGGACAGCAGAGGGGTGAAGGAAGTCAGCTACAGACAGCAGCAGCTGATGCACAGGCCTCCCAGTGCCTGAAGTCACCCGGAATTGGGAAGTGCTCAGAAGCTTACAAAGCTGCCTCGAGGTGGGAACACAACATTAATCCAAGAGCAGATCCCTGATCCTATAAAAATGTACTAGATGCAGTGGGGGCATTTTAAATGAGCAGGGAAGGACAGACAGATAAACAGAAGGACAAACAGTATTGGGATTGGGATAAATGCTCAGCTTTTGCCCAAATCTTAGTGACTTAAGCATCACTTATTTGCTCACGATTCTGTGGCTGGACCGTTTGGTTTGGCTCACAGGGCAGGGACTGTGCTGGTCTTACCTGAGCAGACCTGCGTGTCTGCGGTCAACTGGGTTGGCAGAGACAGAGTGACTGTCTTCCTCCAGGAAGCAGCAGGTTAACTGGTTGGCAGAGACAGAGGGACTGAGGGACTGTCTCCCTCCAGGAAGCAGCAGGTTAACTGGTTGGCAGAGACAGAGGGACAGAGGGACTGTCTTCCTCCAGGAAGCAGCAGGTTGGCTCTGGTTCCTTCGTGGGGCAGCTGGTCTCCAGGGCAGCAAGAGAGACCAAGCCCCCGTGCACATTCTACAGCCTCTGTGCACATCAGACTTGTTAATATCCCATTGGCCAGTGCAAGTCACACGGCCAAGCCCAGATTAAGGAGTGGAAAGATGGACGCTATCTCCTCCTGGGAGAGGAGGCAAAGGAGGTGAGAGCATTATGTGGCCACTTATGTTTGCAATCTACCATACTTAGCCCTTTGAGAAAAGAATTAACTGAGAAACTTGCTTCAAATAGGGCATTCAGTAAAATGAAGCCCCAATTGAAGTAAAATGCATATATAAAAAATGAAACTGTGACCGATTTTAAGGACAGTATTGGCAAATATTTCTGTGCTCTTGGAGGAGAAGACCCTTATTGGCATGACATGTCAGAGACCACAATGAAAGAATTATTTTAACTTGCATTCATAAAAATTAAAATTATTCATTAAAAACATCGTGAATGAAATTAAAAGTCAAAATGTAAGCCAGAAAATTATTTACAACATATGTGTCAGGAAAAGACAATACACTTCAGACTTTGAGAGTTTACATCAGAAAGAAAATAGCAAATGACATGATCCAAACTTGATAAAGGACATGAAAAAGAGCCAGCACTTAGTATGTTTTCTGAATGAATAAGTAGCCAACAGCACATGAAAATGTGTGTAATCCACTTGTAAGCAGAGAAATGCAAATTAAAACAGTAAAGTGTCATTTTCACTTCCTGGATTGGCAAAGGGTTTTATGTATTTTACTGACAGTGCTCAACATTAGCAGTAAACAACAAATGGTGAGTAAATATGAGCTTCGGAACCTCAGGGAAATGATCTCCTTATTTCAACCTGCAGATTCCTTCCTACAACCAGTGTAGAGCAGAGTACCAGGACGGGCCATTGAGCACCCTGGTGTTGAGATCAAGTGGCCTCTAGTCAGAGTTGGGTCAGGGCCACTGTGAGTGGGCTGCCCCCAACATGAGTCAGCTGTCTAGGACTAGTTTATCTCTGCTTCTCACTTTACTGGTATTATGGGGCAGCTCCTGCTGTCTTCCAATTTGGTGTCTTCCAAATCGGCACCGTCTTTTAAAGTTGAGTTTCTTGTTATTCTCACCTGATATACCTTATTTATCCCACACCCACCCCAATAACATATCGTGCTCAGTGTTATCTTTGAGACAACACTTGAATTTTACTCAGCCTGGAGCGCTCTTCACATGTCTTGTCCAGATCCAGTTCGGACTCATTCTTCAGCCGTGCATCAGTAAATGGGGGCTAGGTTAAACTGTGGTGACAAACAACCTCCAAATTTCAGTGGCTCAAAAATCTTCTTCCTCATTTATTTACATTTCATCATGGGTCAGGTGAGAGGTAGCTCTGTGCTGTGTCATCCTAACACAGGAATCCAGACGGAAGGAGGGACAATCAATAAGATCCCCATTGCTATAGAAAAGAGAAAAAAGTATGCGGAATAGCACTCTGTTTCTTGGAGATTTCTCCTGAAAAAGTCACATGTTATTTCTTCTCACCTCCATTGGCAAAAAAAAAGTCATGTGGCCATGTGAAAATGTAAGTAGGCGGGATGGAACAGTCAGAATGCATTCATAAAATATGAACTGAAAATATCTGGAGAACAGCACCTATGACTACCACGAATGCCAACATGCATCCCTAACAACCCAGTGCTGTCACCCTCCAAACTTTTTATGTCTTGCAAAGTATTAGAACTTCTTATCTGAAGCCATACCACTCAGAGGGAATGCAAAATACATATTGACATCTCCTTTAGGATGTCCTTAGAGAATTCAAGGAAAAGAAGTTAAATAATTTAAAAGTGCTTTTGGGTACAGCTATTTAGCACTAGAGGGTAAGATTAGACATAGATTGTAAAGATAATAATAGGGTTAGGGATAGGATTAGGATCTGGGTCAGAGTCAGGGCCAGAAGTATGGTTAGAGGTGGGGTCATGGTCAGGGTCGAGATCAAAGTCAGGGTCAAAGTAAGGGTCAGAATTAGGGACCAGGATAGGGATCAAGATTTAGGTTCAGTGTCAAAGTCTTGGGACAAGGTTAGGGTTAGAATTAGAACCAGAGCTTTGTTCTCCTCAGGTCCCACCCGAGGGTGGGTCACCATGGCTTTGGAGCACCTGGTAGTGTGGTGTGTCCACAGTGAAGACCAGAGTTTCGTTGTCCTTAAGACTGACCTGGGAGACGTGGCTGCAGGCCATTGAGGAAGGTGAGGCAACAGCTTCCTGTCTGCTCCCCGTGTGCTGAGGAGGGAGTTCTGCCATGGGCTTTACTTTCACATGTTATATTCCACAAGTCTTGTTTTACAAAAGCATCCCTTCCTTGAGGCTTCGGCTGCTCATCGCTGCTCATCATCATAGCGTGCCATAACATATAGTAAGATTTGGGTTTGTTTCTGGGGAGATATCTTGGTATAGAGAAAGGAGAAATGCTTAGAGCCACCATCAGGACAGTTGGGATGAAAGTTGGGTATAGGCAGAGGCTGGAGGAAACATGTGCATCCCCTGTAAACACTTTTATTCATGTTTTAATTACTCATTTTTCTTACAGTGTTAAATTAGTAAAGATAGTATTGAAAAATTGAAAAGTAGGCATATTAAAACTTGCAACACTATTTAAGCCTAGATATATTATTTGTACCTCATCAACATTTTTTATTGTGTTGAGAAAGTTTAAGGTTAATTGACAGCATATTTCTAATAGTAGATAGAATAACATCCCTTTTATAAACATTGACATCCTACATTACATGTGTGAACCCTGAAAATCTGAGACAGCTCTCAGATTTTTTAGAAAGTTTATTTTGCCAATCTTGAGGATGTGCGCCTGTGATGCCTCCTCAGGAGATCCTGACAACATGGGCCCAAGGTGGTCGGGGCACAGCTTGGTTTTATACACTTTAGGGAGACACGAGAGATCAATCAATACGTGTAAGATGTACATTGGTTCAGTCCAGAAAGGTGAGAAGGCCAGACAGGGGGCTTCCAGGTCACAGGTAGGTAAGAGACAAATGGTTTCATTCTTTTGCATTGCTGATTACCCTCTCCATGTGAGGCAATCAGGTATGCATTTATCTAGGTGATCAGACGGGTGTCTTTGGATAGAATGGGAGGCGGGTTTGCCCTAAGCAGTTCCCAGCTTGACTTTTCCCTTTAGCTTAGTGATTTTGAGTCCCCAAGATTTATTTTCCCTTCGTAAGTGTTCCTATGAGTATTAATTATTCATTGTGTCTTTTATTACACAAATAAGGCACAGATTTTTAAGAAATCATCAACTTCATGGCTACCTATATAGACATAATTACACAGAAGCTCAACTAAATTTGCAAACATTCCAGAGTTTGGGTTTCCAATAATTCTTTGTGATTCTTTAAAAGGTAAAGTATTTTTTCCCATAAAACATAGCAACATTTAAAATCACCCGTAGAATGTCCCGCCATTTTTGTTTTTCTAGTTTCCTCATTTTCTGCAAATCCTCGCTGAGGAAATTGACTTTGAATATCCTTTTAGACTCTTTTGTTTTAGAAAGCATTGTGGTAAAACATTGAATCATCATGGTCATAAGTTCTGTTCACATTCTTTCTTTCTTTGAATATTTTTTCCCAGTGGCCAATATTTGATTCTGTTGTATTATGGCTAAAAGGTAGGCATGGGAACAAAATAAAGACAAGAAGTCTTTGGAATAATTGATCCCATCACAATGAATCAATTTGCCATTGGAACATGTTTTTACAAAGTCACTCTTTTGAAAATATTCAGCTATGACTTGAAACAGAGTCTGTATGGTTAATATTTTTCCTGGTCTAAGGTGAACAGCATTTTAGAGAATGAACCCAGGACACAACCACAGCACAAGAAAAAAATATGATAATTAAGTTTACACATATTGTTACTACTGTAACAGAAAACATGTAAAGGACATTTGTTTTGATTTATATATCAGTCTGCACTGTTTAATTTTTTGTGTCATAATTGCTCTTATTTTAAAAAACAGGACTAGTTAACAGTGTCAATTACTAGTAATTCATGGTATAAATAATTAAACAAGGAAGTGTTAAAAAAACAGTGTTTTAAATAAAGTTTTATTTTACGTCTTTTTTTTACTTACACAGAAATCGTCAAAAAAAAAAAGCAGAGATTTCCCATGTAGCCGCAACCTAGTTTCCTCTCTTATTAACATCTTCTATCAGTGTGTCTCACATGGCTTATTAATATCTTACATAATTTGCCGCAGTTAATGAACCAATACTGATAGACTGTTATTAACTGAAGTTCATATTTCATTTGGATTCCCTTAGTTCTATCTTACTCTGACCCAGGATCCCATCCAGGATCCCGCACGACATGTAGTCATCACATAAGCTCTTCCTGGCTGTGACAGTGTGTCAGGCTTTCCATCTCATGATGACCTTCATAGCACTGAGGAGGATTGGTCAGGAATTTTGTAGAATGCCCCCCATTGTCACTTCATGTTCTCAAGGTGAACTGTCAGCTTTGATATTCACTTGGATCATTTGGCAGAGCTACTGTTTGTCAGATTTCTCCACTGTGAAGTTATTTTTCCTCCTTGTCCGTACTGCATGTGTTCTTTTGGAGCAAGTCACTATGCAGAGCCCACACTTACGGAGTGAGGAGTTGGCTCCACCTTCTTGATGGCTGAGTGTCTACATCAGTTATTTGGAATTCTTTTGCAAAGGAGATTTCTATGCAACTCCATTTGCTTATTCACCTAGGTATACAAATACAGACACCTAGATAATTACTTTAAGCTTTAGTTATTATTCGACACTATAGCATTATGTTGCACAATTCCTTCCTGTGTTGGCCATCGGTAGCTGTTTTTATTGGCTTTTATTTTTGTTTGATATATTTTAATTTTTTTAGTACTTACTTTCTGATACTTCCAGATTATCCTGGCTCCTATATTTACTGTCCCAGTTCTAGTATCAGACATTTCTTCAAAGAGCCTGATTCCTTTCAGAATGGTGGGAAAACTTACATGTGGCTGTTGAATGCACATTGTATCTTGTCCCTCATTAGCAATGCTAGGAAGTATATGTGCGTGTCTAACCTACCTACACACACCTAATTATAAAGTTTTCTATGTAGATCTGTGTGTATCTATATTAAACTAAGCATAAGTTTACGTTGATGTCTCCACCTCTGATCTACTATCACAGGAATCATTCTAGCCTTCTCGTCTTGCTAATTTGTAACCTCCCACTTCAACAGTGAGAAAGCTGGTTCCCACCATCTGCGACTTATGTAAGTCATTGTTTTACTCCAGATACAGACACTGTGGTTTTACAATTGTTCACAATTGCTTCTGTTGGAAAGAACTTTATAAAATGGAATCCAATAATGAAGTATAGTTCATGTGCCTTCAGCCTACAGATTCTATTTATTTTCAAAGTTTTTACCTAGATTTGTGTCTTAGTCCATTTTGTGCTTCTGTAACAGAATACCTGAGGCTGCGTAATTTATAAGTAAAAAAGTTTCATTTGGTTCACATTTGGTGGCTGGAATGTCTGAGATTGGGCAGTTGCATCTGGCGGGGCCTCAGTCTTTTTCACCTCATGGTGGAAAGTGGAAGGGGAGCAAGGGGTGCACCAGAGATCACATAGCAGAAGTGAAAGCAAGAGGGAAGCCAAGGAAGCCAGACTCTTTTTAATTACCTGCTCCTGCAGGAATTATCTATTCCTGTGAGAACAGAACTCACTCACCCCCATGGAGGACATTAATCTATTCATGAGGGATCCGTCCCCACGACCCAAACACCGTCCACTAGGCCCCACCGCCCCACACTGACACAGTGGGAGTCAAATTTCAACATGAGTTTTTGTGGGGACAAACCACATCCAAACCATCGTAATTTGTAGCATAAATTCTTTTTCACATGATGTATTCTGTCCTGGGATACTCCACATCCTGAGTAATTTGATTTAATTTGAATAGAGTTTGCTTTAACCATTTGGCTGTAAAATTCTGCATATTTCGACAAATGCATTGTGGCAGATATCCCACTATTAAAGTATCATATGGAATGCCTCAAACCCCCACCCCATGGAGCCAATGGCTTCCCATCTGTGTAGTTTGCCTTCCCCAGTGTCTCATTAAATGAGGTCACACTGTGTGTATCCTCCTCAGACTGTCTTCTTCCACTTAGCAATGTGCATGCAAGATTCACTCATGTCTTTGTGTGTGTTGATATCTTGTTCCTTTCTATGGCTAAATAGTATTCCATTACATGAATGTAGCACAATTTGGTTATGCATTTTGGGGAGTAGAACCTTCCTCTTCTAACTTTGTTCCAGGGTTGGAGACCTTCAAATTAACTGACAATAGATACATTAGTAGGAGAGACAATACTTGGCTTCTTGTTCCCCAAGTATCATTGTGGGACAAAATTCATCAGATGGCAGGATCCAGTTTACAAAGAGGTAAAAATAGCCCAGAAACAAGAAACAAGACTAGAATCTGATAACTCACAATGGCTATAGTTTTCCTTTAAAAAAATTTTTTTTGAGACAGGGTCTGGCTCTATCGCCCAGGCTGGAGTGCAAAGGTGCAATGTCAGCTCACTGCAACCTCTACCTCCTGGGTGCAAACGATCCTCCCTCCTCAGCCTCCTGATTACCTGGGACTACAGGCACATGCCGTCATGCCCATCTAATTTTTGTATTTTTGGTAGAGACAGGGTTTCTACCAAAATATTCGATTTTTTCTGTGGCAGACAACATTTATTTATTTATTTATTTAGAGACAGAGTCTTGCTCTGTCGCCCAGGCTGGAGTGCAGCAGTGCGATCTCGGCTCACTGCAAGCTCTGTCTCCTGGGTTCACGCCATTCTCCTGCCTCAGCCTCCCGAGTAGCTGGGACTACAGGTGCCTGCCATCACGCCCGGCTAATTTTTTATATTTTTAATAGAGATGGAGATTCACCGAGTTAACCAGGATGGTCTGGATCTCCTGACCTTGTGATCCACCCGCCTCAGCCTCCTAAAGTGCTGGGATTATAGGCATGAGCCACTGTGCCTGGCACAACATTTAAAGTAATAATTGGAATTATGACTCATTACTCTATAGTAGCACATAGCATGGATAAGGAGGACATTGACAAACTTCCAGGAATTTTATATAATTTCTGAAAACATAACATTTTACCCATACAAATATAACACAGGGAAGGTTAGGTATCTCTTTTTATTTGTATCTTCTGTATGGTTTTCCTTATAAAAAATGCAACCTACTTTACTTGCGAAACATGCCCTACTTTTCTTGCATGCTTTGCATAGAGTTGTTTCTAGTTATTCTATTATTTCTAGTAGTTTTATTTACATATATTGATTATAATTTTAATACTTAGTAATCTTTTATTTTCCAGAGAAAACTAGGAAGTAGACAGTTATAAACTGTCATATATTAGCATTCTATAGTAGGTTAGAAAATGTATGAATATACCATCTCCCAACATCTAGAGGGATGTGTTTTCTCATAATACAATTCCTCAGTGTGGCAGAAAAAAACATGTTTATTAACGGGCCAAAATATCTTTAGTCTCTCTGTAAAAACAGGAAGCCAAAAGTATATAAACTTGAATTATTTATGTTCAGTAATTAATGTTTTAGTATTGTATCTTATTTATAAATGGTCTAGATATTTAATGCAAATCTTTTACTTAGCTTAACTTTAAGGTTAAAAATTACCAAAAGTACTTTGGAAACTATTCTTAGGCAGATTTACTGTAAACAAATTATTTTTGAAATAAAGTTTTTCGCTTTTCACAAGACGGCACCGAAAGCGAAGGAAGCTCCTGCTCCTCCTAAAGCCGAAGCCAAAGTGAAGGTTTTAAAGGCCAAGAAGGCAGTGTTGAAAGGTGTCCGCAGCCACACGCAAAAAAGAAGATCCGCATGTCACCCACCTTCAGGCGGCCCAAGACACTGCGACTCCGGAGGCAGCCCAGATATCCTCGGAAGAGCACCCCCAGGAGAAACAAGCTTGGCCACTATGCTATCATCAAGTTTCCGCTGACCACTGAGTCGGCCGGAAGAAGATAGAAGAAAACAACACGCTTGTGTTCACTGTGGATGTTAAAGCCAACAAGCACCAGATCAGACAGGCTGTGAAGAAGCTCTATGACAGTGATGTGGCCAAGGTCACCACCCTGATTTGTCCTGATAAAGAGAACAAGGCATATGTTCGACTTGCTCCTGATTATGATGCTTTCGATGTTGTAACAAAATTGGGATCATCTAAACTGAGTCCAGCTGGCTAACTCTAAATATATGTGTATTTTTTCAGCATAAAAAAATAATGTTTTTCATAAGAATGACAACTTAATTAGAATCAAATCTATAAGCTTTAAGATTTTACGTTTCTAGTAAGTATAATATTAGCTTATTTGACTAGAACTCAAGCAGAATAGGAATTTATGCTTGTTTTATATTCAATAATGATAATTTTGAAGATATAGTTGTTTTATTACACCAAAAATACTATATTAATCTTATTTAACTAAGTTTTATCCAAATCATGTTAACTTAAGAAACATTTGATCAGTTCCTATATTTCTAGGAGTTTGGTGAATATTTATTTATAAATGCTTATTTTTTTCCAAGCCAAGTTAGAATAGAGCACTTTTAGAGGATTTCATAAATGAATTTTGCAATGCTCTCTGGAGTTAAGAAAATATCACATATACATAACATACATTAATAGATATACAAACACAAATAGAGATTTCATAGCTTTCATCCTGAAATTTCAGCCATGAATCAGGCATAAATATTCTGATGGTTAATTTCAGACATCTTGATCCGATTGAGAGACACACATAGCTGGTCAAACACGATTTCAGCCATGAATCAGGCATAAATATTCTGATGGTTAATTGTAGACATCTACTTGACTGGATTAAGAGACACACATAGCTGGTCAAACAAGATTTCAGCCATGAATCAGGCATAAATATTCTGATGGTTAATTGTAGACATCTACTTGACTGGATTAAGAGACACACATAGCTGGTCTAACACGATTTCAGCCATGAATCAGGCATAAATATTCTGATGGTTAACTTTAGACATCTACTTGATTGGATTGAGAGACACACATAGCTGGTCAAACACGATTTCAGCCATGAATCAGGCATAAATATTCTGATGGTTAATTGTAGACATCTACTTGACTGGATTGAGAGACACACATAGCTGGTCAAACACGATTTCAGCCATGAATCAGGCATAAATATTCTGATGGTTAATTTTAGACATCTACTTGACTGGATTAAGGGACACACATAGCTGGTCAAACACAATTTCAGCCATGAATCAGGCATAAATATTCTGACGGTTAATTTTAGACATCTACTTGAGTGGATTAAGGGACACACATAGCTGGTCAAACACGATTTCAGCCATGAAGCAGGCATAAATATTCTGATGGTTAATTGTAGACATCTACTTGACTGGATTGAGAGACACACATAGCTGGTCAAACACGATTTCAGCCATGAATCAGGCGTAAATATTCTGATGGTTAATTGTAGACATCTACTTGAGTGGATTGAGAGACACACATAGCTGGTCAAACACGGTTTCAGCCATGAATCAGGCATAAATATTCTGATGGTTAACTTTAGGCATCTACTTGATTGGATTGAGAGACACACATAGCTGGTCAAACACAATTTCAGCCATGAATCAGGCATAAATATTCTGACGGTTAATTTTAGACATCTACTTGACTGGATTAAGGGACACACACAGCTGGTCAAACAATTTCAGCCATGAATCAGGCATAAATATTCTGACAGTTAATTTTAGACATCTACTTGAGTGGATTAAGAGACACACATAGCTGGTCAAACACGATTTCTGGGCATATCTATGAGGGTGTTTCTGGAAGACACTGAGATAACCATGACCCAATGTGGATGGGCACTGATATGGTTTGGCTGTGTCCCCACCCAGATCTCATCTTGAATTGTAGTTCCTGTAATACCTACATGTCGTGGGAGGGACCCAGTGGGAGGTGACTGAATCATGGTGGTGGTTACCGCCATGCTGTTCTCATGACAGTGAGTGAGTTCTCATGATCTGATGGTTTTATAAGGGGCTTTTCCCCTTTGGCTCAGCACTTCTTGTTGCTGCCATGTGAAGAGGGATAGCTTTGCTTCCCCTTCTGCCATGATTGTGAGGCCCCTGCAGCCATGTGGAACTGTCAGCCCATTAAACCCCTTTGTTCTTTATAAATTGCTCAGACTCAGGTATTTCTTCATAGCTGTATAAAAATGGATGAATACAGGCAGAATCCAATTGGTTGAGAGTCCAGATAGAATAACAAGGAAGAGGAAAGGTGAATTATCTCCTTCTGAAATGGAAACATCCTTCTTCTCCTGCCCTTGACATCAGAACTTCAGGGTCTCAGACCTTTGGCCTCACAATCAGAGTTACACCATTGGCTTCCCCGATTCTGAGTCCTTTGTATCTGGAGTGAGCCATGCTACCAGCTTTCCTGGTTCTCCAACTTGGAGACAGGCTATTGTGGAACTTCTCAGCCTCCATAATTATGTGAACCAGTTCCCCTAATGAATCTTCTCTCATCTATCTACATATATCCTATTGATTCTGCCTTTATGGAGAGCCCTGCCTAATGTGATTACAATAACTACAAAATTCACTAGTTTATATAGAAGACTTGGTTTTTGTCTTTGCCCCATTTTATATTTGTATTATAACTATGTATCTGGAAAATGGAACAAGTTTTTTCTTCTTCATATGAGGGCTAAGGCTTTTTTCTCACCAATATTTTTGGAGATTTTAAAGATTTTCTTTTTTTTTTTTTGACATAGAATCTTATGGAGGCTGAGAAATAATTTTTTTTCTATTTTATTCTTCAGCCCCAGGTGTTTGCTTTTGCAGATTCTTGAGCACATTGAGAGCCTCCAAGGCATGGAGTGGGGTGCCTGAAGTTTCAGTGATTATAGGGAGTTGAGAGACTCAACTGGGAAAGGAAAGGTCTAAAAGGAGGCAATTTGGAAAATAAAAATTTTCTCAAAGGAGCCATTAAAGTTGTAAATAATTCTTAGTAAAGTCATGCAAACAGGAAAAGAAGTAGAATTAGTTCCATATTGGTGGAACACATAGTCAGCAGAGGTTGGAGAAGGGAGAATTTAGTGAACTGAGAAGTTCCCATGAAAGCAGCAAGATCAAGATCACAGAGACACCTTGAAACAAAAAGCCAGGAATAACTTCCAACCCAAGAGGAGAACAGAGAGGCCTCAAAACCAAAGCTAGGATAAGAAACTTGTAGCCCAAGAGTTATCTTCCAGACAAAGAAGCCTGAGATTCCAACGCAGCTTCAGAGAGTGCTCACTCAAAATGTTACTGAAACTGTAGGCTTTTTAATGACTTAGCCATGCCTGCAAAAGGCATTCCCTAAGGTGGCACAGAAGACGGAGCCCCCATATCCAAAGATAGCCAAGGAGAAAGAAAGACCCCTGTTGCCAGAGCCAGTGGGAAAAGGCAACAGAAAAGGAGACAAGGGTCCTAATGGGATGAGATC